>NC_000002.12:28895623-29048373 GCF_000001405.40 Homo sapiens
TGAAGTAGTAGCTTGATTTAGTGAATGTTTTATGAGTGCAGATGAAATTACCCTTAGATGGAAAACTGCCGAGTTAGGCAGAGCTTTTCATTGTTAGGGACCCGTGTCAGGTAAATGCCTTTCACTGTTGAGTCACTCAGCTACATCTCTCTAACTCAGCATGCACGTGGTTATTGCGTTTACAGAGTAGCCAAACCGAATCACTGCAAAGTGATTTGGAAACATCAGGTATCCTGAGGTGTGTGATGTGAGCTGTTTCAATGTGGAGAACTGTAAAAGCTATTTAGGATCTTACTCTCTCTGACGACCTGGGAAGCCTGCTAAATTTTTGGGTTGGGAAAAGGGATACATATAAGTTGCTATACTTTGGGCATGTTTAGATATTTTTCAAATTTTAAGCTACATTTTCATAGTTTATCCTGTTGATTCATAAAATAAACCTATCAGGGCTTATAAGTCAAACATAAAACTAAAAAAAAAATCAGTTTTTATTGTTAAAATTACAGCGCTCTGCTTATCTTTTATTTTCAAAGTTTTCTGTGGTTGTATTTTAACAGTCCTGTAAAGTGATAGTAATACTAATGCTGAGAGAAATACGGAGCAGTGGTTAGGTAGGTGCGTGGACCCAAGCTGGCTATATTGTCTATATTTGATTCTAGCCTCTGCTTCATAGTGGTAATTGCCCCTCTGGTTCCTCATTTATGAAATGAGGATAATAATATCTTCTTCATAGAGTGGTTGTGAAGGTTAATATATTTAATAATGCAGAGAACACTTAGAATAGTTCTTGACAGGTAAGTGCTTTAAGTGTTAAGTATTATTAATATCTGATATTTGTGTGGTTAGTCCTGAAGTGTTGATAAGGAACTTTCTGCCTTGTTTCGGGGAAAGAAACAGAAACTCTGGGAAACTAAGCAACTTGAATAAAGTAAAAAATGGAACCAGGATTAGAACTCAGGTCCTTAAGAGCTCGGTTCTTGGTTATCTGCAACAGATAGTTAATATTAGGTTGGAAAAAATGTCACCCACTTTGCTTTTCTGTTGAGTTTCAGTTGCATTGTATGCCCAAGAGAAATTTCCTAATCTCATATTAAAAGTCATAGTTTTGGATTATGTGCAACACTATGGTAAACTAGAAAAATAACTGGATTTGGTTTCATAGCCCAGACTCAAAACTTACTTTGTCATATTGAGCAAGTTGTTTTAATTTTGAGGACCTCATTGACAAACGAGAGTTGAGCTACATTAAACAAAATTTTTTTCTAGGTTTCAGCATCGTTTTATCTGCACTGTCTCCTTTTAACCACATGACTATGGAATCCCCTGAAATTAATTGCATTTTAAAAAAACTGATTGAAAATCAGAGCTAAGAAAGGTAAATGACTTGACTCAAGCCTTAATAACCAATAAAGGAGTGTGGCCTCTAGAGTCATGGTGCCCCGAACTCCTGGTCAAGTGCCCCGATTTTGTTACTCTCAATCTTGAGTCACAGAACTGAGAGAGCTGGAAGGAATGTAGAGACATTCCCTACTTTGAGGGTGTGTCCTCTTGGAGCATCAGTTTGACTTATAAACTAAGGAGAGACAGTTTTCTTGTATTAAAACAAACTTGCACATATATTATGGTATAAAATTAAAAAGTCATATGTACTGTAACAAGATATCTTAGAAAAAAAAGGCACATGTTAAGGTGCTCTCATCTTATTAAACCCTTCCTTTTATTTTACATCTTTGAGGCTTAGTGTATGAGGCATGAAAAGGATGTTGCTCTGAACCCACTTTCCAGCATTTTGTTAAGGTCCTGCTATATGATGACATATAGTACTCTCAAATTTGAAATAGAGGTATCATCACCCACCTTTTAGGATCCTCAGGATCAAATTAGGCAATGTATGTGACTGGTGTAGTATGGCCTAGTATGTAATAAGTGGCTTAATAAATGTTATTATTGAGTGAATCTGGACTCGTTTTACCATTTAATTTGGCATTTAATATGGTAAATCAATTTGTAAGAAAAGTATTCTATGTTTGGTTTAGTAATTGGCAGTTTGCTACGCAAGGACAAAGTGTGGTGATGATAACTCATCAATGGAGAAAGATTAGTTAGTGCTGGGTTTCTTGGGTAACGGGTTAAGTTTGTGGTTCACAGGTGTTTAGAAAAATTAGATTGTCACCTCTTGTTGGTCACAGAATGATTACAATACTTTGCATTCGTGCCACAATAGTTTTTAGAGGGTTTTTGTACGTTATGTAGCTGAGCATTCCATTTGGTCTTTGGAGCCTGGGGGAAGAGGACCTTTAATGAGGACAAGAAGATAGGAAAGTGCAAAAATACAAATGGAGGGACTCTATCTAGATGGATGCTGTTTTTAAGAGTTCCTCAAGTTTATGTGTGTAAACTGAGGCAGAAATGTTAATTATATTCTCTACCAAAGCCACATAGTAAAGTGACTGAGCCACCTAGGAACTGATGCTGCTATTTGATTGTCTTCAAACTTTTGAAAGTCTTCCGACTTTTCTGCTTTTCCTTCTCTAACAGACCTTGTCTGCTATTGGCTATCACAGTAAATGTGTTTATACTGCTTTGCTGTCACTGCAATTAAGATGACCCTATACAGCTTAGTACTTGTTGAATGAAGCACATGGCATTTCAGACATTGGACAGGGTGTCTGAGTTGGGTATCTGCATTACCATCCCTTAGAGATGTAGGGCAGTTCACATGTGCTGTGCAGTGGTCTGTCTTGAGGTCTTGCTAACAGTTAAACTTCCTAAGAAGTAAAGGTTGCAGATAGATCTGATTGGCAGAAATAGAAGTTTCTGTGTATTAGGACTTAATTGATTTGTTATAAATACTGTATGTGATTTTTTGTAAAATGAATACATTTTGTTCACTGTTATCTGTGAAACACACATGCAGTGGCAGTGAGATAGATGAAGAAATGGATTAGGAGACTAATTGCAGAATGAAACTTGAAACTTGGCATACTTTTTGGTGTCTAGAGTTCAGTATTTCTCAGAGCAGATTTTGATCCATTAGTGGATTATGTAATAAACTTAGTGGATTGTAACATTAAAAAAAAAACAAAATAGAATGGAAAGTATCAGAGTACTACTAGCCGTGGGAAGTTTCTCTGTGAAGCTTGTTTCTATATGTGTATTTTTATGAGAGTGTAGTGACTGCATGTAAAACTCCTCTTTTTCTGGGATTTTAGTCTAAAAAGTCATTACTTTAATTGCTGTACAAATTCAGACTTCTCATCACCTGAATGTGCTTTTTTCTGTCTTCATCCCATCTGTACAACTCCTTGCTTTTATAAATTATGCACATGTGCCATTCAGATTCTCCCTCAGCCTTCTGATTGTTTCTGGATCAAATGCTGATGATGGATCAAATGCTGATAAGCTTTTCTCATAAGACAGGTTTCAGTATTCGTTGCTTAACTCAGTTTGCCCTTCATGGTGGAAAAGACTCCTTAGTCCGAGAAATCACCTCCTTGGGGTATTCACTTCTGATGCCTTCAGGAATTGAGATTTTCCAGTTACAAATATATAAACTAAATTTTTTAGCCTACCTTTTTATTACTTAATATATTTATCTGTATAATCTGTGCTGGGCACTTAAGAGGAAACACAACTGACTGTGACTAAAGTGTAAAAGAAGAAATACATTTCATATTTGCCGTGTCTAATGCAGGGTATGACATGTGTCTTAAGGGAAAGAAGTTTCCGTGGAGGAGGTGGTATTTGAGGTGGGCCTTAAAGCATGGATAGGATTTTTAACCAATGAAAATTGAGGTGAGTAGGAAAGGTCCCCTTCCAAGTGAAGGAAAAGCAAAAGCAAAATAGGAAAATGGGTGTATAGGGAGTGTTAACCTAAGGATGGAATTGGAGATAAGACTAGAGAAGGTGGGTTGAAGGCAAATTGTGGATGCTTTTAAATGCCATAGAACTGTTTATATTGATTTATTCTCTGGAGAGTCATTGAAGTTTTTTTGATCACAGGAATAACATGTTTAGATAGTAAATGCCAACAGAAGTTTCTCATCTATAATCAGTAGCACTAAACTCTTGGTTTGAAAAATATTTAGTATGGGTAATACTTGGAGTATCAGTTTTCATTAAAATGTACATTGGTTATATACACTTCTGGTCTGATGTGTTACCTTTTTAAATATGCTTATCCTGCTGAATAAAGACCATCCAACCTGAAAAATAAATGAGTCCTGAGTTCTTTAAGTTCAATAAATTGGAGTAATATTTAGGTTTAGACCAGTTATCCTTAAAGTTGGTCATAAATGCTGTAGATATTCCTTCCGCCTGCCCCTGCTTGCTTCTACCAAAAAATACAGAGATTTGCAGATGCAGAAATTAAGGCTTTGACTATGTTATGCTTGACATAGGCTATGTAAATTTCTAAAATTTCTTTGTGCTTTTTAATGGAAATTCAAATTGGCAATAAAGCATACGCATATTTGGACCTGTCTTTGTTTCACACATCGAGAAACTTCCATTTAGATAGTTTTTATTTGGGAAAACCAAGAGTAGAAGAAAGATTTCATGGAATCTTTTTTTCGTTTTGTTTTGTTTGAGATGAGTCTCTGTCGCCCAGGCTGGAGTGTAGTGGCAGGATCTCGGCTCACTGCAACCTCTGCCTCCCGGGTTCAAGCAATTCTCTGCCACCTGAGTAGTTGGGATTACTAGCGCCCACCACCACGCCCGGCTAATTTTTTTTGTATTTTTAGTAGAGACGGGGTTTCACCATGTTGGCCAGGCTGGTCTTGAACTCCTGACCTCGTGATCCACCTGCCTCAGCCTCCCAAAGTGCTGGGATTACAGGCGTGAGCCACCACACTCAGCCTTCTTGGAATCTTTTTAAAAAGATGAATCTTTTCCTGCTGAGATGGTACTAGGTTAATGTACTTCCCCCAACTCTCCTTGCCTGAAATAGGTGTTTGTATTTATAACCTTATACAGAAATTATTTTTGCCCCTGGAATCATTCAAAGGTAGCTTTAGAAATTCATGTAACTGAAACGGGGACCTAGAACACTCCTAAAATTGAGGTTTCAATGTTTCAACAAGTTAAATGAGACCATCAGACTTTGTACTTTGGCTTTTAATTGTAACTTCTCTTTTGTGTTTATTAGTACATTTCTAAGGACTTGCAAGATATATTTCTAAGGACTTGCAAGATGTGTATTATTTTTTTCTGTAAGTAGGTTACCTTTTTTTGTTAGACTGCATTTCATCTGTGTCCAATGAATCAAATTCTTTAAATGTAAAATCCCCCTAGGATAACTAAAAGAAAAAAATGGAAAGTGCTTTTTAAGTCTACTCCCTGACACTCTTTATGCACTGGTAACGTTGTGGTTGTCATTGGTTTTTCTTGAATTAAGACAGATTTTTAGGTGTCTTGGGCTGTGTGCATGCCCATGCGTGCTGTAGAGCTAAGATCCTGCACTATTAAGAAGATATTCTCTTTTCTATGGTATTGGCTTGTTTTACAGTGAAAGAATGGATTTCTCAGAACTTTATGCTAAAAACATATAGGCTGGTGAGCCGTAATTTAAAAAAACACGGAAGAGAAGTTCTGAAATCATAATAAATACTCAGCATTATAAACTGATGTAGTGCTTTTAAGTTAGGGTCATTGTCTTTTTGTTGGGAAGACATGAGCTGTTAACATCACTTTTGAAATGAAAGAAGTCTTGTGGCATTTGCCACTTGAGTGAGACTTTTGTCTCTGAAGTCACTGAATCACTGAGCCAGCCCTTGACCAGTCAGTGGGGCAACTTCTCTCTTGTGTGCTCTGAGCTGCTCTACTAGTTAAAGCTATTTGTTGACTCAAATTGAAGTTAATGCACGTTTATAAAGGTAAAAACTTTTGAGGCTCTTTTCTTGACAACTAAGCTAGAATTTGTGGAAAAATTAGGAGAGATAAAGGAGAGTTGGCTGCTTAGATATGGACTTACGGATTCATAGATTTTTGGGTATGAATCTCTTTGGTTGGGGAGTGAAGGCTTCGCTTAGGTTGGACCTGTCAGGAGGGGCGGCCTGTTTCTGAGAAGTGGAAACAGCATTGAGGCTTCTTGGACCTGTTAGGAGAGTACCAAGAACATACTAGGTTTTCCTATTTGCTGCCTTTTTTCCATAGGGGTGGGAGACGGGGGACATAGAATTACGAGTTTCTCTTCCCATTGGAGGGATTTCTTTTTGAAGTAGTGAGAAGTAAATCACCCAATAGCTTCTCTCTTCCCCCCTTTTAAAATGTCTTTTGTGGGCTGGTGGGCATTTGTATTTGTTCATTAACGATGTTTTAGTATTTGCAATACTAAATAAAAACATTGTTTTTCTTTTTTTCCAGGAAAGTCCCCAGAGGAAAAAAAGGAAATCAGAAGCTGTAGGAATGAGTAACCAGACTGACTTATTGGCTCTTGGCACAGCAGTTGGTAGCATTTTATTATACAGCACAGTAAAAGGAGAGTTACACAGTAAATTAATAGTAAGTGTGTGTATATTTTATTTAAAAGTGATGTGACAGGGAAGCTGATTATTAGAGATTATTAAAAAAAAAACACTTCAAGGTATGTGATGGGATCTGTGCAGTAGGGACAGTTTTCAGTCTCATCTACGTTTAAATAACTGAATAGTAATATTTGATAAAAGCTATAATAGTTAACAGCAGTCCTTATTATGGGTCAGAGTATGAAGACTTATTGACTAGGTTTAAAATAAGGAAGGGTTACAGGAACT
Organism: Homo sapiens; assembly: GCF_000001405.40. Classification (NCBI taxonomy): domain Eukaryota; kingdom Metazoa; phylum Chordata; class Mammalia; order Primates; family Hominidae; genus Homo; species Homo sapiens. The sequence continues at coordinate 28,902,376 of NC_000002.12, forward strand.
CTAAGGAATCATAGATAGCAGCTGTGGAAAGCAGCTCCCCACCTCTTGACCTAGGGGAATAAAGGAGGCAGTTGAAATTACTGCTAACACTGAGATCTTTTAGGGGCAAGTGTTGTGCTGCTGTTGCTGTCTCTTGAAGAGTGGCCCCATGGGCATGGGATCGAGACTTCAAACTGAGAAGGAGGCTCCAGCTGCCTGGTGCTAGTGTCTCTGATGGAGATGATGAGATTGGTTCTCCTAGGGTTGGATAAATTGGATATTGGGTTCAGCTGCTGCTGTTGGGCATTACCACTGTTGGGGTGATGCAAATAAAGAGACAGGAAGGAACAAGTCCCTTCTCTCTCCATCCTTGTCTCCCTCTAGCAGTTGCTATTGGTAGAACCTATGGATCGAGCTGGGAAATCAGAAATCAGGTTGCTGAGTCCCAGCATCACAGCAGAATATAAAGGATGGTTTGGCATTGGAAGACAGTAACCGAACTGGTCTAGTAGGTTCAGACAATATCTATTGCAGTGTGTTTTTGTTCGCTGGACTTCTGTATATAGGAGTGTTTTAAGTTTTTTGTTTTAAATAACATTTGTCTATAGGAAATTTGTAACTACATAAAGTTGAAAAGGAAAAAAATTTATACCTAAGTCTGTCGCCGAGAGGTCCTCTTAATAATTTGTATATTTCTTTGCTTTATACATACATTAAAAAAATATAGTTGGCTTTCTGTTCATCTAGTTTGTATCCTGATTTTTTTCATTAGATTACAACATAACTATCTTATATTTGTCAATAACTGGTTATAGAGATTTTTAGTGACTGCTTAAAATCCCAACAAGTGGGATAGTCCATTATGTTACTTAACTTGTTGACCATTTAGGGGTTTCCAGATTTTTAAATTGTTGTAAAACAATTTCTTTTTCTTACATGGATTCACAGAATTACTAACCTAAAATTAGTGAGCCAAAGGGTTGCTATATATGTAGTATAAAAATACTTTCTGGAATAATTTTTACTAATTTATGCTTAATATCAGTGATAGGAGATAAGTACTTTATCTCAGCAGTATCATTACCACTACTGAATAGCCCAACAAAACAGCAACAACGACAACAAAGAAACAGCTAATTTGGTAGAGGAATATTTTAATCTGATTTTAAGTTTGCATTTAGGAATGTATTACTTGTTTTTATATTAAGATTACAAAAATAATACTCAACTATAAATGAATTTTAAAGCATTCAGAGATCCATCTCAAGAAAGCATTCTTCCCTATATTCTTCCCCCCTCCTCCAAGTCGAGTGTGGTCCTCAGGTGAGCTCTTACACCTACTATAGGTAGGAGCCTATCCTTTAATTGGATAGGTTTTTTGTGTTCAGCAGGTACCTAGCATCTTGTGCAGTGTGATAGCTGCTCAGCTGCTGTGGCTGCTGGAGCCTAGAAGACTTATTTTTTTTTAAAGACAGAGTCTCACTCTGTCGCCCAGGCTAGAGTGCAGTAGTGCGGTCTCAGCTCACTGCAACCTCTGCCTCCTGGGTTCAAGTGATTTTCGTGCCTCAGCCTCCTGAGTAGCTGGGATTACAGACGTGCACCACCATAGCTGGCTCATTTTTGTATTTTTAGTAGAGATGGGGTTTTGTCATGTTGGCCATGCTGGTGTCGAACTCCTGGCCTCGTGTGATCTGCCTGCTTGGCCTCCTAAAGTGCTGGGGTTACAGGCATGAGCCACCATACCCAGCCTAGAACTCCTTTTTATATCATTTCACAACCTTACAAGATTGTAAATACATCTTCGACAGGGATGAATTTATCAAAAAGGAGTCAAGAGGGTCAGGGTGAGGGGTACTGGGATGGTATGGTAAGGTGGAAAAGGACCAGGCTTTGGAGCTAGTCTGTCCTGAGGTTGAATCCTACTAGTTGTATGATCATGTGTGAATAATTTAACTTCTCATCCCTTAAATGGGTATTAACAGCCTACCTTGCATGATTTTATTAAGACTTAAATGTAATAATGTATTGAAAGTGCCTGGCTTGTAAGTGGTATTTAGTAAATATTTGTTGAATGAGTAAGTGAACAAGTGAGTGAACACATCGCTAAATTGCTTTCCAAAAGGGTATGCTAGTTTACACTGCTGCTGGCAATAGTATTATGTAACCTCACCAGCATGGGCATCATAAGGCTAAACACATTGCTACAGGAACAGACTAAAAATGCCACTTTGTTTTGGTTTGTATTTCTTTGATTACTAACAAGGTTGAATATTTTGGTATATTTTCTAACTGAATTCTTTCTGTGGAATGTATCTGTTCATATCCTTTAGTTACTTGCGTGTATATAAGACTTAGTTCTTGGAGTACACAGCTGATAGGAAGGAAGGAAAGTAACTGAATGTAACATTTTAAAATATTTTTCTTTTGAAGTGGTAACAATGTTATTTCCAAGTAGCTTTAGTAATTTTGAGTAATCACTTTTATTCTTAGCTTAGATATGTACATAGTGGTGTTTCATTGTATACGTATTTACTTTATTCCTGCAAGATTTTAATACATAAAGCTAAAAATGGTACAAAAGTAAAGTAACTGTAGGAGAGATGTCACAAGATAGCATGTGACTATTTGTCAGATGAGTTCCAGCAGTGTTGGGAAGGCCTGGAGGAGAAGTGATTTCATTTGGACCTTCTGGGATAGGTAAGATTTGGATAGAGGAGGGTGGAGAATCCTTTCAAGGGTGGGGAGAGGAAGTTGGGGAGATGGCAAGAGCAAATGAGGGGAGACAGGAATGGGAGACAGTAATGTAAAAGATTGACTTGGCACTGAGCAAACTAATTCAGAGGAGGGGCATACTAGGGGATAATGGATAATGGATAAATGTGACTTCAGGTAGAAAGAATGAAATGCTTGCAGTGTGGGTGATTTAGCACCTCATTCTGCTAAGTGAGTTAGTCCTGGAATGTTTGTGAGATGGGAAACATGAATGAGCTCTTCTCAGTTTCTATTCCTACGTGCCTCTTAGTGAGTGGGCATCTTGCTATGCTGTAAATGTATAAGTATTGTTTATATGCTATGGCCCCATAGTACAAGGAAGCATTTAGTGTTTACCTGAAGTAACAGTGATTTTTGTTTTGAGACATAGCTTTGGTACATTTTTTTACAAGAGATTTTTCGAGGATATTTTTGACTATACTTGATTTTTACCTTAAATGCTGACTTGGGGTGTGGAAGTAGTTTATTTATTTATTTTTAAACAGGAGAAGGAAAGTTAACATTTTGAAATTCTAGCTGTTTATCTCTCTCTTCTTCTCTTTTTTTTTTTTTTTTTGATATGGAGTTTCACTGTTGTTGCCCAGGCTGGAGGCAATGGCGCAATCTTGGCTCACTGCAACCTCTGCCTCTCAGGTTCACATGATTCTCCTGCCTCAGCCTCTCAGGTAGCTGGGATTACAGGCATGTGCTACCACACCCGGCTAATTTTGTATTTTTTTAGTAAAGATGGGAGTTTTGCCATGTTGGTCAGGCTGGTCCTGACCTCAGGTGATCCGCCTGCCTCAGCCTCCCAAAGTGCTGGGATTACAGGCGTGAGCCACCACGCCTGCCCTGTTTATCTCATTTATGATGTTGGAAAACTCAAATGGATAGATAAAGGTTAAAGCTTTTAGTTAGGTTAAGGCCTAACATTTTAGTTAATTATTTGGTAATGACTCTAGGGTTCATATTATCATAATATGTAAGACAAGTTTTATTTTCTTCTTAAATTTTTTTTTATACACCATAAATATATTCATTTTCATTTGTCAGTTAAAAAAAAGAAGAGTTGACTCCTACCTCTACATATTATTAACTACATCTCTAACATGGTCGCCTCTATTTGCCTTTCACATCCTCTGCCAATGACTGGCCTCAGATCACCAGTGGAACCTTTTCAAAAAATACACCATTGGCTCTATGTAGTTCTACTGATCTGAAATATCCACGTGTGGGCCAGGAGCACTGGCTCATGCCTGTAATCCCAGCATCTTGGGAGAGCGAGGAAGGAGGATCATTTGAGCCCAGGAGTTTGAGACCAGCCTTAAATTTTTTTTTTTTTTTTAATCTACAGAGTGGTGGACATGACAACAGAGTCAACTGCATACAGTGGCATCAAGACAGTGGCTGTTTATATAGTTGTTCAGATGATAAACATATTGTGGAATGGAACGTACAGACATGCAAAGTAAAGTGGTGAGTAACATTCATGGTATCAGGAAATGCAATAGACGTGGATAAATGCTGGACTTGTGGGGAATGCAGACATTAATAAGGTTATAGGTTCCATTTACAAAGAACTTTTAATCAAATCGAGCATGCAAGATTTTAATACATAAAATACTAAAACACATAAAATACATAAAAGCTAAAAATGGTACAAAAATAAAGCAACTGTATGAGAGATGTCACAAGGTAGCATGTGACTATTTGTCAGCCGAGTACAGTAGTGTTGGGAAGGCCTGGAGGAGGAGAAGGGATTTCAGTTGGACCTTCTAGGACAGGTAAGATTTGGATAGAGGAGGGTGGGAGAATGCTTTCAAGGGTGGAGAAAAGAAGTTGGGGAGATGGCAAGAACAAATGGAGGGAGACAGGAATGTAAAAGATTGACTTGGCACAGAGCAAACTAATTCAGAGGAGGGACATACTAGGGGATAATGGATGGCAGATGATATGGGTCAAAGGATCCTAAGAGCCTGGCCTTGTGTCATAGATAAAGATTATAGACCATTGATTATAGTTCAACCACCTGATCCTGAGGTTGGCCGTATAGGAGATGCTTAGTAAATGTGGGCTGTTGAATATAGTTCCACCTACTGTGTAGTTGAGGACCCTCATGAGGAAAATGATGCCCATGGTCCTGCAGCTGCCAGAGAAGGGATTCTAATGCTGCTCTTTTTAGTTCTGGTACAGTTGGGATTTTAGATTCTGTCTGGTATGCAAGAGAGAGCCATTGGCCAAGTGCAGTGGCTCATGCCTGTAATCCCAGCACTTTGGGAGGCCAAGGTGGGAGGATTGCTTGAGACCAGACTGAACAACATAGTGAGAACCACCTCTTTACAAAAAAAAAAAAAAAAAAAAAATTGGGTGTGGTGGCATGCATGGCCTGTGGCCCCAGATACGAGTCTGAAGTGGGAGGATTGCTTGAGCCTGGGAGGTTGAGGCTGTAGTGAGCCATGATTGTGCCACTGCACTTCAGCCTGGGTGATGGAGCAAGACGCTGTCTCAAAAAAAAAAAGGCTGGGCTTGGTGGCTCACGCCTGTAATCCCAGCACTTTGGGAGGCCAAGGCGGGAGGATCATGAGGTCAGGAGACTGAGACCATCCTGGCTAACATGGGGTACCATCTCTACTACAAAGACAAAAAAAATTAGCTGGGCGTGGTGGCGGGCCTCTGTAGTCCCAGCTACTCGGGAGGCTGAGGCAGGAGAATGGCGTGAACCCGGGAGGCGGAGCTTGTAGTGAGCCAAGATCACGCCACTGCACTCCAGCCTGGGCGACAGAGCGAGACTCCGTCTCAAAAAAAAAAAGCCACTGCAGGTCAGTGTCTCTGGGATAGAGTATTCAGAGTAATGCTTTAGGAAAAAGTAATCTGTCAGCAATGTGTAGAGTTTAGGGGAAGGAGCTAGTTAAAGGCAGAGAAGGCAGATAGATTGTTACTGTAATCTGGTTGTAGGATGGTAAGTGTGGGAAGTTAAAATGGGAATGATCGCAATCATTGAGTTGGGATATTGAGTTTAGTTTTCAGCTTTGCTAACTAGGCAAGTAAACCAATTTAGAGGGAGGAGGTACTAGGGGGATAATGCATGGTAGAGGATAGAAATTATGGTCAGAAGAGATACATGGTTTTGGGGTTTTTAGACAAGTTGGCTTTGAAATAACATTATGTGAAAGATAAGACCCAGCAGACAGGGTGGTGCTAGAGGCTTAGATTTAAGTAGGGGTTTGGGGTTGGAGATGCAGGTAAGTAAACCATCTCCCTGATGGCTCAGTGAGTATTTGTGCTCCATTTACTTGTAGCAGACACAGTAGTTTCTATGTTAGTAACCTGTTAGAAATGCCTGCAGAGGTTCTGATCCAGTAGGTCTGGGGTAGGGCCTGTGTTACTGTATTCTGGATGAGAGGTCACAAAGATAGGTCCTTCACATAGGGACTAGTAATGTTCAAAGAGCCATTCAACACGTGTGCGTTTTATTGTATGTAATCATAAGCCTGTGAGGTGAACTTTAGCCCCACTTTGCTGTTTTGAAGTAGATTAAACAAGAGCCTGACCTCTCATACACTAAACTGTGTTGTCTCATAATTTCATTATGTTTCCAGCTTCATCGTTAGCATTCTTACGCTGCCGTTACTTGGATTTTGTTTTCTGTTCCAGACGCTATGTATTGATTTTCTGTTGTGGAAGATGAGGATTTAGCTCTTACCTTCTTTTCCCCCTTCCAGTTCTCTCAATATTGTTGTATCACAGTGTTTGATAAGCAGAATTTGTTTACATTATGACTAGTTAATTATTGTTACAGCTGAGCCTTAGACTTTCCTATGTTTAATATTTTTTTTTGTACAAAATTTTGCTTTTCTTGGGGTTTATAATTGCTTGGTTTTCATTTCATTAGTTACTAGGTCATTCTCTATTAGTGGTATAAATCTTCTCAGTTGTTTCTGGACACATCAGTCAGTCAATTTTATTCATTTCTTGGAAAACTTCTCTGTCTTGTAAGTTCTGCTGAATGATGATTATCCCGAGATTTTTTTTCTTTTCTTTCTTTTTCTTGAGATGGAGTTTCGCTCTTGTTGCCCAGCCTGGATTGCAATGGCGCGATCTCAGCTCACTGCAACCTCTGCCTCCCGGAATCAAGCGATTCTTCTGCCTCAGCTTCCCGAGTAGCTGGGATTATGGGCACCTGCCACCATGCCTGGCTAATTTTTTATTTTTAGTAGAGGTTTCAGCATGTTGGTCAGGCTGGTCTCGAACTCCTGACCTCAGGTGATCCACCCGCCTCGGCCTCCCAAAGTGCTGGGATTACAGGTGTGAGCTACCATGCCTAGCCATGAATTATCTTCTTTTGTTCCTTACATCCTGTCTATTGTGAGTGTGTTTTGATTTGTTTGATTTGGCCTCTTTTATGTTTAAGGCATCCTTCAAATCACTGGAGATCCTGAGCTGCCTGTTGCTATTTGGAAACAAAGCATTAAAAAGCTGATTGGTGGCTGGGCGTGGTGGCTTATGCCTAAAATCTCAGCACTTTGGAAGGCTGAGGTGGAAGGATTGCTTGAGCTTAGGAGTTCGAGACTGTCCTGGGAAACATAGTGAGAACCCCCTCTCTACAAAAATGAAAAAAATTAGCCAGATGTGGTGGTGTGTACCTGTAGTCCCAGCCACCTGAGAGGCTGGGGCAGGAGGGTCACTTGAGCTCAGGAGATCGAGGCTGCAGCAAGCTGTTACCTTGCCACTGCACTCTGCCTGGGCAACACAGTGAGACCCTGTTTGGGGGAAAAAGTATTGATTGGAAGGCTTGGTTGTGAGTGTGTGACTTTTCAATTGTTGTGCTTCATTTATAGAGTGATTGGGAAGCCGTCAAATGCCAATATGTGTATATCATTCCACTGGAACCAGTTACATTTCCCAGAGAGGAATTTTTTCATCTAGTGCTTCTTAAGGCTTAAATGTACATACATCTTAACTTGTGCATACAGATCTGATTTAGTAGGTGTAACTAGGTTAGAGCTTGAGAGTGCATAATTCTCACAAGTTCCCAGATCATGCTGATTTATGCTTTGAGTTACAAAGCTCCTGAGGGATTAGGGTGTGGGGAGGATAGAAGGTATTATTAGCCTAACTAGCATTTTCAATACTGAGTGGGGAAGTAGATGAAGGAAGCTTATCAGCCTCGTCTAGGCAGGATGGCGATTGTGTCTTTTATATATGTATCAACGTAGTAAGTATATGTTGAATATTGAATGTAAATGAGAATTGAAGCTGTGGGAATCGATAAATTGGCAAAAATTTCAGAAGCTGGTAAGGGTAAAGGAAAAGTTCTCTCGTACATTATAGCTGCATTTCTTTGATTATCAGTGAGGTTGAATTTCGTGTTTATCAACAATTTGTATTTTTCCTATGAATTGCCTGTTTAGTTGTTTATATCCTTTGTCTGTTTTTATTTTGAGCTCTTTTTCTTATTGATATGAAGGAGCTATTTGTGTATTGTGAGTATTAATCCTTTGTAATATATATTTTTGATACTTTTTTCTAGCTTTTTACATATATATACAGATAACGTGCGTGTGTGTGTGTAAATATATATATATATATAATTATTATTTTTATTTTTTTTGAGATAGGGTCTCACTCCGTCACCCAGGTGGAGTGCAGCAGTGGTGTCTCAGCTCACTGTAAACTCTGCCTCCGGGGTTCAAGCAATCCTCCTGTCTCAGCCTCCCGAGTACCTGGGATTGCAAGTGTTTGCCACCAGCCCTGGCTAATTTTTGTATTTTTAGTAGAGACAAGGTTTCACCATGTTGTTCAGGCTGGTCTTGAACTCCTGGCCTCAAGTGATGCACCTGCCTTGGCCTCCCAAAGTGCTGGGATTACAGATGTGAGCCACTGCGCCTGGCCACTTTTTACTTATATTTTAATTTTATGACTTATTTGTGGAGCAGAAGTTTTATGTAATTAAATCAGGTCTTTTTTTTTTTCTTTATAATTTCTGGTTTGTAATTGCTGTGGAAGACCTTTCTTAACCCCAGGATTATAAAAACATTCTCATACCCTGTTTAAATACTTTTAAATTTAATCAGTTAATTTTTTTGCATGTGTGGCATAATGTAGGAATCTAATTTTGTTTTTCTAATGACTGATTTGACTTACTCCATTGTTGACTGGCAGAACCATACGTTTTCTTCCACTTAATAACCTCTTTTTTTTTTTTTGAGACGGAGTCTTGCTCTGTTGCCCAGGCTGGAGTACAGTGGTGCAATCTCAGCTCACTGCAAGCTCCGCCTCCCAGGTTCACGCCATTCTCCTGCCTCAGCCTCCTGAGTAGCTGGGACTATAGGCGTCCTCCATCATGCCTGGCTAATTTTTTTGAATTTTTAGTAGAGACAGGGTTTCACCATGTTAGCCAGGATGGTCTCGATCTCCTGACCTTGTGATCCGCCCACCTCGGCTTCCCAAAGTGCTGGGATTACAGGCATGAGCCACCGCGCCCAGCCTCTTAATAACCTCTTTTGTTATTCAGGTTCCTACTGTTACTTGCCTTTTTTTTTTGGAGACAGAGTCTTGCTCTGTCACCCAGGCTGGAGTGCAGTGGTGCGATCTTGGCTCATTGCAGTCTCTGCCTCCTGGGCTCAAGCGATCCTACCATCTCAGCCTCCAGAGTAGCTGGGACTACTACACCATGCCTGGCTAATTTTTGTAGTTTTTGTAGAGTCAGGGTCTCGCTGTATTGCCCAGACTGGTCTCGAACTCCTGGACTCAGGCGATCTGCCCACCTCAATCTCCCAAAGTGCTGGGATTAGAGGCATGAGCCACCATGCCCTGCCCCTGCTGTTACTTCTTATAAGTGAATAGCCAAGTTCCCTATTGCCTATGACAGCATTAATATGAGTAACAAACAGCAAAGACTCCAGCTTCTAATCATATTTGAGGTAGTGAAAAGGAGTCATTTGTACCTAATTAATTTTTACCTGTCAGATTGGGGTACATTCATGTGGATTTAGGGTAGAAATAACCTTTTTGGGTTGCAACTTTAGAGAAATCGTTTGTGTTATTAAGGGAATTAATTAAAGGCCAGCCTTCCAGAGAAAGCGAGAATTGAGGTAGGGTTAGGATGGGCTTGGGGAGGTCTAGCCAGTATGGAACTTTCCTGGACATTCGCAAAGTTCATCTCCTGGGTCACAGGATGTACAACTACCCATTTTACATTCTTATCACTCTCACTCACTCATTTTCTGATACTTGTTGAGAATCTTTATCCCATGCCTGCCAAAGGGAGATTGTGCTGTGTTAAGGAATGCAATCAATGAAGCTTTTATCACAGTAGTATGTCCAGGGTTAGTTACCTGACACAAGCTTTTAGGGAATGTAATTGTCACAGGACCTGAGGCGATATTTTTAATGATTGTTCAGTTTGTTTTTTTGTTATTTTCTGCTCTGAGTAAAGTTTTCTCTCATGTATTGAGATGCTTTTTTTTCTCTTCACAATATAGCAAATGGAAAGGCGACAATAGCAGTGTCAGTTCCCTATGTATCAGCCCAGATGGAAAGATGTTGCTTTCAGCTGGTCGAACAATCAAACTATGGGTTTTGGAGACCAAAGAAGTCTACAGGGTGAGCGAATCAAATTATTTGTAAGCATAAAAATTATAGAGTAAACACAGAGAAAGGCAGAAGTTTGAACCATAAGATATTATTTTAAGAATACAAATTCTTCATTGTCAGGTACATCAAATAGTTTAGTGGATAAAAGTTAGCCTCCTAATCTGATTTGTTGATGTTAAAGAGACTAGACATGTCTACTTCAAACGTATTGGAAAAATGAACAGAACCAATATTCAAGAAACAAGATTTTTTTTTTTTTTTTTTTTTTTGAGATGGAGTCTCACTCTGTCACCCAGGCTGGAGTGCAGTGGCGTGATCTCGGCTCACTGCAAGCTCCGCCTCCCAGGTTCACCGCCATTCTCCTGCCTCAGCCTCCCGAGTAGCTGGGACTACAGGCGCCCGCCACCACGCGTGGCTAATTTTTTGTATTTTTTAGTAGAGACAGGGTTTCACCGTGTTAGCTATGATGGTCTCGATCTCCTGGCCTCGTGATCTGCCTGCCTCGGCCTCCCAAAGTGTTGGGATTACAGGCGTGAGCCACCGCGCCCAGCCGAAACAAGGTTTTTTTAAAATTTAAATTTTATTATATACACCAACTATGTATCCACAAAAAAGAAAGTTACCTTTTAAAAAACAAAACAGATTTTGACACAGGGTCTCTCTCTGTCGCCCAGGCTGGACTGCAGTGACGCCATCATAGCTCATTGCAGCCTTGACCTCCCAGGCTCAAGCGATGTCTCACCTCAGCCTCCTGAGTAGCTGGGAGTATAGGCGCTTGCCACCAGGCCTAGCTCAAAAAAGATTTTCTTAATAAAAAAGTTTTTACTATGTGATGATTATGGTAATTTTGATTTCTAGCCTACATCCAGCATTTAGTCCACTTACTGTATTTGACTGTGGAGATTTAGTATTATATTTTTGGAGGAGGAAAAAGCTTTCACTCAGGGCTTACGGAATATTTGGTGCTGTGATGATGCCTTAATATTGTGGTTTCGACTCACTGAGAGTAAAATGAGGACCTACAATTCCTTGGCTGTGTCTGAGCACCCAAAGTATGCCTTTTAAAATGGATAGAATTAAGTGAATCTTTAATTCAAGAATGTAAGAAACAAAGGTGCGGAGTGGTAGGGTCATGGGAGTTAGAAGGAACATCTAAATTTTCAGTATTTTCAGATGGATTTTTTTAAAAAGTGGGAGAATTATAGCACAAATAACCTTATTTGCTTAGAATTGAATTGAACAGTTACTTCATCGTGGAGCTCTCCTTTCCGATATGTATCACATATGGCTTGTTTTGATAATATATACTATTAATTTTTGTCCCTGCTTTGAATCTGCTCTCCTAACTGAGATTTAACTTTCTCTAGCATTTCACAGGACATGCAACGCCAGTTTCGTCACTGATGTTCACTACCATCAGACCTCCTAATGAGAGCCAGCCCTTTGATGGAATTACAGGTCTTTATTTCTTATCTGGAGCAGTACATGACCGGTTACTTAATGTCTGGTATGTAGTTCTTTTGGATTTGGGAGGTAGCATTGAAAGAATCTGTCAGAGCTTATGTAGTTAATGTAAATTATGAATATGGGACTTTATTTGTTGTATCTAATGTTGGATTTACATTGAGTCATAATAAAAAATTGAGCCTGCCTACAAAACAGATCTTTCTGAGAAAAAATTAAGTGCATTATGTATTAAAGCCTCCTGTGGTTGTTTAGTGATACAGTGGACTGAACATTTCTGTGGTTGGGCAATTTAGAATATCTTTTAAAAAATTTAGAAAGACCTTTGATTTTGAAATATATGGCACCACTGGGTTAATGCAGTAGTGTCTGTTTATGGAGGGCATAAAATTGCTTGGCTGTCTCAGAATTTCCAGTAACTCCTTTTTGCAGTAGCTGCTATTAACTAGTTCCCTTTGAAACCTCTTTTAAAAGTAAAAATCAGGCCGGGTGCCGTGGCTCATGCCTGTCATCCCAGCACTTTGGGAGGCCGAGGCGGGCGGATCACGAGGTGAAGAGATCGAGATCATCCTGGCCAACATGGTGAAACCCTGTCTCTACTAAAAATACAAAAATTAGCCGGGCATGGTGGCGCACGCCTGTAGTCCCAGCTACTCGGGAGGCTGAGGCAGGAGAATTGCTTGGACTCAGGAGGCGGAGGTTGCAGTGAGCCGAGATCCCGCCACTGCACTCTAGCCTGGCGACAGAGCGAAACTCCATCTCAAAAAATAAAAAATTTGGTGATACAAAGTCATCAAAAAGTTTTTAAAGAAATTTCCTGGATTTTATTGCAGCATCTGATGGTGAAGTTGGCTTGAAAAAAAAACCACCTTGCTGTTTATGGACAGTTCTCATCTTAGTAATAATTAGTTGAGCATGCTCTTCACCATATAAAGTTACTATGAATTTATACAAGATAATACTCATTTAGAAGTGGGACTCATCCAATATGTATTCCTTAAAAAGGTAGTTGTGTGGGGGTCAGAAGTCAAAATGTGGGCCTCTGTTTACCTTCAAAACCACCAGCAAAACCATAATTCCTAATTATGTCTCTTGTAATTAAACGGATTTGGTTTTGTTTCGTGTTTGATTTTTGAGAAGAGCCAATGGAGATAAATTCTTTTAGTTTTAGAGGGTCTAACAATTACATAAGAAATCAGTAGTGCTAAAAAATTAAAATCTACTACCAGGGTCCCCTGGCATTATTGAGTTGCTTCAATCTCAAATGTTTTACCGCTTAGGCTTCCTCATACCTAGGAGTCTCCAGCTACAAAATTTCATTAAATAAAATAAAAGTTGCTTTATGTTAATCTTAAGAACCTGAATAGTGTCTATTATATGTGGGTGCTTCCTGGAATAAAGGAAGTAAACTTAAAATTAACCACACACACAAAAGGAAAATGTTAAAACCCATATTGAAAAGCTGCCCAATGAGCTGTGTAAATTTGCATGGGGATAGGTAGAGCGGGCCTAAAGTTCCCTGATAATTTCCTTTGAAAGACACATTTCTGTGGATATAACATTCGAAGGCTTCTTGCTGAATGAAGATTAAAAGATAAATCAAACCCCAGTACTATCTTCTATTGATTGGTTAAGATACTGTGCAGTGGTCTGATGGCAGAGATTTTGAGCATACATGAATGACTTCATGTTAGAATGAATGTTACTAAGAATTTTTGCATGAAAACATTTATAATTTATCAGATCAACTCTTAATTTTCTTCTGAACTCCAAAGAAGCTGATTTGAATCATGTTTGTAAATCATGTTTGTTAAGTATTATTTTTTAAAATTTGTACCTAAATTTTAAAAACAGCTATATTGAAGTATAGTTGACATGTAATGAACTGCACATACCAGAGTGTACAAACTGATGAGTTGTAACATACATATACATTGTGAAACCCTCACCACAAACAAGATAATGAATGTGTTTCCTCATGTCTTCTTGTAATCTCTCAGAGACTTGTTGACAGGTTTTGGGCCATTACAAATACAATTGCTATGGACATTTTTTGTGTACAAGTCTTTATATGGACATGTGATTTCATTTCTTTTGGGTAAATACCTAGGAGTGTAATGGCTGGATCATGATAGGTGTACGTTTAGCTTTTCAAGACATTGCCAGATTTTTTTTTCAAGATGGTTGTAGCATTTTGCATTTTTACCAGCAGTGTATAAAAATGAAAATTCCTTCACATCCTCATCAACACTTGGTATAGCATTTAATTTTAGCCATTCTAATAGGTGGGTAGTGGTATTTTGTGTTGTTAAATTGGCTTTCTCTAATGGCTGGGATGTTAAGATTCATGTTTTTGCATTATGGATATCCAGGGATCCCAGTATCATTTGTTGAAAAGATTATCTCTGCTGACTTGGTTTTGCATATACCTCTCCCCCTATAACCCCGAACACCTACACACACCCACACATCCCTGCACCCACACGCTTATCCCTATATCGGTTCTCGTTATTTATAATTGTTAAGTCCTATAAAGTCCCCATGAACACTGATTTAGTCAATAACATTACTCCTTGGGGAAATAGCTTAGGTTCCCATGAGCCTCCAGTTGTAACATTTTTTTCATCTATTTATTTTTTTGTTTATATTATTTATATTGTAAAGGTAGCCAGCTTGTAACATTTTTGTCATTAATATATAAAACCTTGTTTTATGTTTGTTTCTATTTAAAGATATCTTATTTAATGCATATGTTTTTGATTGATTAACTTTGAATTCAGAGCACTACAACTCATGTCTGAGTGAAGCTTATTTAACACATATTTTCACTGTAAGGCACATCCCAGTCTTCTTGTGCTTAGGAACACCATAGAGCACTTCAGAATTATGCTTGGGGGCCGTTGTAATTAGTGAAATCTCCAAGAAAGCACAAAAATGCAAAAAACATGGTGCTAGGTGAACTACTTGTTGATAGTATGAGAACGGCAACGGGAAGGCAGAATGTAGCTACCTTAGCTGAAGACATTGAATGTGTTAGGCAACTCAGATTTTTCGCTAGTCTACACCCCTGAAGGAGCATAAAATTGTTACAGTGATTTTGAGGTTACAAATAAAATTTTGCAAAAGATGACTTTGCAAATAAGGAATCCATGAATAATGACAATCAACTGCATATGTGTGTATATATAGGTCTGTTTCTGTGCTCTTTACTCAATACCGTTATAATGTTAATTCTCCCCAAATTGACCTACAGATTCAACGCAGACGCATTCAAAATCTTAGGCTTTTTTTGAGAAATTGACAGACTGATTCTAAAATTCAAATGGAAATAACAAATGACAATAGGCAAAATCATTTTGAAAAAGAAGAAAATCATTGGAAGACTAAGATTGATTTCAAGACCTATTATCAAGCGGCACTAATCATGACAGTGTGGTATTAGTGTCAGGATAGACAGACAGATCAATAGAAAAAAACAGAATGTTACTCATTGTTTAAATCTGCCACAAATGCATTATTGCTTTCTCTTTTCTCAAGCAACCATGTTATATGGTAGTGACATGGATGCTTCCGTTGTTTTGATCTTTAGTCACTTTACTAGTTTTCAAAAGATGACAAAGCTATTGGGAATCTCATGTGCTGATCTCCATGCCTCCTTAGGTGTTTGCCTTTTTAGGAAGAAAATTAAATCTGTCTTGCTATCTAACTTGCTGGTTTTGTTATCTAGGCAGGTCCGATCAGAAAACAAAGAAAAGAGTGCAGTGATGTCATTTACAGTTACCGATGAACCTGTCTATATTGACTTAACTTTGTCAGAAAACAAAGAAGAGGTAAATGGCTCGATTTTTGAGAATTTGTTTTTGGGTTTCACAGATGTTATTTTTACAGTCAAGGTTTTGATGATTTAATGACTTGAGAAATAGAGAGGACCTGAGGGAGTAACAACAAACTGTAACAAATTTTAGACTGTTCAAAGGAACTTAAATCACTGTAATAATCTCTTATGGGGGAAGGGAAAAGTTTGTACAGGACGGTAGTAAATTCAGGAATTCATTATGTGAATTAAGAAAAGTTGTTCAGGTGGATTTTGTTACTAGGAGTATGTATATATGATTCTTTAATCAGATGAAATTGTTGGTGATAGCTCCTAACTAAGGTGTGTGTGTGTGTGTGTGTGTGTATTTCTTTTTTTATCTCTTTTTTTCTTTTTTCATTTTTTTGAGACGGAGTTTCGCTCTTGTTGCCCAGGCTGGAGTGCAATGGCACGGTCGCGACTAACCACGACCTCTGCCTCCCGGGTTCAAGCAACTCTCCTGCCTCAGCCTCCCGAGTAGCTGGGATTACAGGCATGTGCCACCATGCCTGGCTAATTTTGTATTTTTTAGTAGAGATGGGGTTTCTCCATTTTGGTCAGGCTGGTCTCGAACTCCCCACCTCAGGTGATCCGCCCACCTCAGCCTCCCAAAGTGCTGGGATTACAGGTGTGAGCCACCATGCCCAGCCTATATATGTATGTATTTTATAAGAGTGATGTCCTCTTGTTTGCTGCCTATAAAAAAAGAATTTTTCATGTAAAAATTAGGGATTCGATGATTAAAGGATTAAACCTGTTGTCATTGAAGTGCTTGCTGTTTCTGTTTAACTGAAGCTTTGCAGGATTTTGATTTGCACAGAATCCCACGTTTCTAATGCAAGTTAAGGATATTCACTTTTAACTCAATTTAGTTTTGAAATGCATATTTTGCATTAACCTCTAGGATTTAGAGATGATCATCATGTTTTAATACTTTAAAAAAGTGTTTCAGGGGAAAAAGCATTGGTTTAAAACAAAAAAAATTTTGGTTTAATGTTTCTGGCTGGGTGTGGTGGATAACTTGAGCCCAGGAGTTCAGGACCTGCCTGGACAACATAGTGAGACCCTGTCTCTACAAAAAATAAAAAAGTTAGCTGTGCATGGTGGCATGCACTGGTGGTCCCACATACTTGGGAGGCTGTGGTGGGAAGATTGCCTGAGCCTGGGAGGTCGAAGCTGTAGTGAGCTATGATCCTGCCACTGCATTCCAGCCTGGGTGACAGTGAGACCCCGTCTCAGTAAATAAGTAAATAAATACATATAGCTTCTGTTGCTAATAAACTTGGCTTTCTAATATGAAATGGGGGCCATTGATGATCAGATCAGTGATTCCCTATAAAGATTTTTGTCTTTAAGAAAAGTAGTAGGGGCTGGGCGCTGTGGCT
The DNA here is from genome assembly GCF_000001405.40 of Homo sapiens. Classification (NCBI taxonomy): domain Eukaryota; kingdom Metazoa; phylum Chordata; class Mammalia; order Primates; family Hominidae; genus Homo; species Homo sapiens. The sequence goes on from NC_000002.12 coordinate 28,919,404, forward strand.
CACACCTGTAATCCCAGCACTTTGGGAGGCCGAGGCAGGTGGATCATGAGGTCAGGAGATCGAGACCACGGTGAAACCCTGTCTCTACTAAAAATACAAAAAATTAGCCGGGGCTGGTGGCGGGCGCCTGTAGTCCCAGCTACTCGGGAGGCTGAGGCAGGAGAATGCCGTGAACCTGGGAGGTGGAGCTTGCAGTGAGCCGAGATAGTGCCACTGCACTCCAGCCTGGGTGACAGAGCGAGACTCCGTCTCAAAAAAAAAAACAAACTAGTAGGAATCCTACACTTAATTACAATAATGATTTAATGTTATTATAAAGTTGGACATGCTTGTGTACATTCAGTGTGATCAGTGCCCTCACTATTCTGATAATTGGATATTCTGATCGTAGGGAACTGATGAGAAACATTTTGGTATTTTCCCCTATAACTTTATTTTTATTTTATTTTATTTTTTTTGGAGACAGAGTCTCTGTCGCCCAGGCTGGAGTGCAGTGGTGCAGTCTTGGCTCACTGCAACTTCTGTCCCCTGGGTTCAAGCAGTTCTCTTGCCTCAGCCTCCCTGGTAGCTGGAATTATAGACTGCGCTACCATGCCTGGCGAATTTTTGTACTTTAGTAGAGACAGGGTTTTGCCATGTTGGCCAGCCTGGTTTCAAACTCCTGGCCTTGAGTCTTGAGTGATCCGCCTGTCTCGGCCTCCCAAAGTGCTGTAATTACAGGTGTGAGCCACCGTGCCTGGCCCCCTGTGACTGTAAAATAAAGAGATTGATTTAACTTGAAGTGACTTTCTGAAAAAATAAAAATAAATTTTTTTTCTTTCTTTTTTTTTTTTTTTTTTTGAGACAGAGTCTTGCTCTGTCACCCAGGCTGGAGTGTAGTGGTGCGATCTCAGCTCACTGCAATCTCTGCTTCCCAGGTTCAAATGATCCTTCTGCCTCAATATCCCAAGTAGCTGGGATTACAGGTGCATATCACCACGCCTGGCTAATTTTTGTGTTTTTCTAGTAGAGATGGGGTTTTGCCATGTTGGGAAGGCTGGTCTTGAACTCCTGACCTCAAGTGATCTGCCCACCTTGGCCTCCCAAAGTGCTAGGATTACAGGCATAAGCCACCCCACTCAACCAAAAGTTTTAAACCTTTATTTGTGTGTGTGCGATTTTTAGAGGTAGGTTCTTTAAGTCTAAATACAAGTAATTTATGGAAGAAAAATCACTTTCCTTGGAGTAGCAAAACTTGCCACTAGTCTATGTAGAGAATAGACTGAGGGATTTTTTTTGTTTGTTTTTGTTTTTGAGACAGTCTCCCTCTGTCAGCCAGGCTGGAGTGCAGTGGTGTGATCTCAGCTCACTGCAAACTCTGCCTCCCAGGTTCGAGCATTTCTTCTGTCTCAGCCTCCTGGGTAGCTGGTACTACAGGCACGCACCATCACGCCCGGCTAATTTTTGTATTTTTAGCAGAGATGGGGTTTCACCATGTTGGCCAGGCTGGTCTTGAACTCCTGACCTCAGGTGTTCTGCCCACCTTGGCCTCACAAAGTGCTGGGATTACAGGTGTGAGCCATTGTGCCTGGGCAAGACTGAATTTTTACTTTCTCTTTTTCTGACTGAATTCTGTTGCTACTTTTAGATTTAACTTTAGGTTTGATTCAGAGTTTATCTTGGAATACTATTGGCATTATATTTAAAATTATTGATAATAAAGAAGGGAGCAGAACTTTTTAAAAAAAATTTTTTTTTTTTTTTGAGACGGAGTCTTGCTTTGTCGCCAGGCTGGAGTGCAGTGGCACAATCTCAGCTCACTGCAACCTCTGCCTCCCGGGTTCAAGCGATTCTCCTGCCTCAGCCTCCTGAGTAGCTGGGACTACAGGTGCATGCCACCATGCCCAGCTAATTTTTGTATTTTTAGTAGAGACAGGGTTTCACCATGTTGGCCAGGATGGTCTTGATCTCTTGACCTTGTGATCGGCCTGCCTCGGCCTCCCAAAGTGCTGGGTTTACAGGTGTGAGCCACTGTGCCCAGCCTTTTAAATGATTTTTTAAGATATTAAACTAGGAATGATGGATCAGGAAGCCAAGTTCTAATTCTGGCACTTCATGTAAGATTGTAGTTAACAGCAGTAAGTTAGAATTAAAATTCCAAAACAAAACTTTGATTATGATATTGCAGAATAATCTGCTTATTTTATTCTCAAAAGTTACCAACCTTTCTATAGACAGTTAGAGATTAGATTTGGATGCCTGTCAGTTGGAGTTGCAGAACGGGGAACTAGAAAATTTGATGGCGGAGAAATGATCTCTTCCCCTAAACTTTTTCTTTTTCTTTTTTGAGATGGGGTTTCACCCTGTTGTCCAGGCTGGAGTGCAGTGGTGCCATCAAAGCTCACTGTTGCCTTGACCTCCCTGGGCTCAAGTGATCCCACCCCAGTCTTGTGAGTAGCTGGGACTACAGGCATGTGCCCACCATACTCTGCTAATTTTTATTGTATTTTTTGTGCAAATAGAGTTTCACTATATTTCCTAGTCTGGTCTCGAACTTCCAGGCTCTAGCTATCTTCCCGCCTCGGCCAAAGTGCTGGGATTACAGGCCTGAGCCACTGTGTCTGGCCCTCCCCTGACAACTGTCATGTAGCACTAAACGTCAGAAAGAATGAAATTTTCTTTAATAAAATCTCTCCTTTCTGAGATTTCTTATTTTTAAATACACCAGTAAAGAATTTTAAACATTTTCAAAGTTGTTTTTCACAACAAAAGTTAGTCTCTTTTTTCTAGTTTTTAATTGATATATTACAGTTGTGCAAAGTTAGTCTTAAAACACTTTATATATTTCATTTTCTCTCAATGTATTGGCTCCTCCCTGAATTCTCTCATTACCTTTATAATTAGAGTAGGAATAGCAGTGTTTTGGAAGTGCTTTCATTTAAGCTTTCCTTAAGAAAGTTCCAGAACTTTAAAAAATGAGCTTTAGAGAGGCTGACAGCAAGAGTCTGGTAGGTAGGAGCATGCAGAGAGCCTAGGCCACTCACATTGATAGTGAATGGAGGGAGAGAGGCAGCGAGGGCTTACAACAACCCTTTCTAGGTGGTAGGGGCATCTCCAGACAGCTTAGGCCACTTACATTGACCGGGGATGGAGGAAGAGAGGCGATGAGGTCTTACAACACCCCTTCCTAGCCATACAGGCAAAATGGCTTTTTCTGTATTCCCGGCAAGAGGGGCATGTCAGCTCCATGTTGCCAGCCTTTGCACTTGGTAGTAACTTTGTTCATCTAACTTGGAGGGCTCATTCTCCTTGACTGTTCTCTTCTTGGCTTAAACATTTATCTAGAATCTTGACAACACCACCACTAATGGTTATTTTGACAGAGGTAATTATTTTTAAATGGATTCTTGCTGTGTTTTTTTTTTTTTTTTTCTGGTTGTGTAATGGGGTGGGAAGGACAGCTGAGTTTTCATAAGGTAGATTGGGGACTGGAGTATGTTATCCATTATAATACGTTGGTTACATTTTTCTTTTAGCCTGTCAAGTTGGCTGTTGTTTGCAGAGATGGTCAAGTCCATCTTTTTGAACACATATTAAATGGGTAAGTAAGAAATTTTCCAAGTAAGAAATTTGTTTCTTTCCCTGACTTGTTACTTGGTCATACTCCCACCTGGTTATTCTTTGCATCATATTACTATTCAGCCAGATTATTTTGAAAGCATTTTTCTTTATCCACATGACTATATACATTGCCAGTTAAAACTGGGTGTCAAATTTATATATTTGTGATTAGGAGATTGGCTTTTTATGATGTATCCTTAGTACATGTTGGATAATTCTAATGATACATTTCAGAAGAAAGTGGCTAAGCTGGAGAGATTCACTTGTGAACCTTGATGATGTTTTATTTATCTTTGAGCGTGCTTTACTTCCCCTTGCCAGTGCTGTTGTTTTGATAGACAGGGGAGTATTGTTGTCAGGTTGTGTAGCAGTCATAGACCAGGAGTCAGCAAACCGGCTTGCAGGCCACATTCAGTGGAGACCATTTGTGGTCTGGAGAACCTGAAATTTTTATTATTTTGCCCTTTTCAGAAAACTTGCCAAACCTTGTCATTATACTGTAAACATGGTCTGAGACTCAGTTTTGCGCACAAATTTTGTTAAGCTTTAAAATGGTTTTAACCTCTTGTTGTCAGTTGGCACCCTTCTTTTAAGATACCAGTATAGGAATTTATTTAAATATAAACAGATTATGAAAAAAGTGTATACTCATTTCAAAACACCCAGGATGCCCAAACACTTGATTTTAAAACCTGAGTCTCCCTCCATTGAGTTCTGCTCCTATAGGTAACTGTTAACATTTTAGTGTGTAACTCTTGAAGCTTTTATTTATAGAAGGATGTGTGTACCTGGAATGTATAATTGAGACTCAGAAGAAGTGGGACCCAAAGGTAGCTGGCCACAGTGAGGACTACCTGGGCAGTGGCAAACCATTGAAGGATTTCAAGCAGAGGATTCGATGAGCTTTGGCCTGAGTTTTAAGACAGTCGTTCATTGAGAATAGACTATAGAGGGTGAAAGGCTAAAGTAGAGACCCCAAATCCTGGGTTTAGAGATAGTTGTGGAGTCAGGATGATAGGAGGAGTAAGTTGGAAAGATAGGGATCATGAGATGCTTACACCTGGGATATTATGCAGGATGTACACTTGTGGAGAATAAGTGGTAATAAGATGCGTAGGGTGTGAGGAGTTTGTGGCTGAAATACAGTGAGGGGCATGTTCATTTGAGAAAGGAGTTGACAGATCAGAGTGTCAGGAGTGTCCATCAACCTGGACACTGGGTGTGGAAACCACTAAGAAAGGAATTCATTTAGAGTAATGTTAGAAGTAATGACCTCAAGCCACTGAAATCTTTACGAAATGTGGATGGTGGCAGAGATCATTGGATGACGGCAGGAGGGAGTGGTAGCTGGTATCTGGTGACAACAATTGAAAAGATTTTAGGGACGAAAAAGGGATAGACTATTGTCTTGAAGTGTCAGTGAAGAGCAGGGAACTTATTTATATCATGTCCAAGGCCCCTGACACAAATGGTATGGGAGAGAAAACAGGTACAAGTTGGGAGTGCTGCAGGGACAAGCCAGGGTAGAGGAAGAATGTGAAGAGAGCCCCTAGAGAAGCCATTGAGGACACAATTTTGCTGCTGGAACTACACTCCAGAGGCTTGCTGAGGCTTTTGGGGGTTGGGAGAAACTGGAGACGGGACTGACTGGAACAGGGCTTGGACAGAACCATACAGGACCTGAAGTACAGGGTGGCAAGAGAACGTTTGGCAGCTTGGGGCTTCTTGGCGGGGCCTGAAAAAATGGGACAGAGGGGGAAGTAGGTCTCCAGTCTGATTTTGGTGGTGAGGTTTTGAGTATAGGTAGAGGTAGGTGAGGTCTTGAAAGGAGTACTCATGCTCCGGAGACCCAGGTGACTCCTGATGGCAGTATAGAGGCTAGAGGGGGGTCACATTTCGTGACTTGATGTCAGTTCCAGAGAGTTAGTATGAGACGTTTTTTCAAATTCTTTAATCTCATTTCCCCCTCCATTTCCAGGTACTGCAAAAAGCCTTTGACTTCAAACTGCACAATTCAGATAGCAACACCTGGGAAAGGCAAGAAGTCAACACCAAAACCCATCCCTATTCTAGCTGCTGGTTTTTGCTCAGACAAAATGTCATTGTTGCTTGTATATGGCAGTTGGTTTCAGCCTACTATTGAGCGAGTGGTACGTAGCTGCTACTCTGGAGTAAAGCAATATAGCATCCCTGTGTCCATGGAAGAGAGTGATTTTAAAAATAACAACATTGGTCTTTAAGATAAATAATATATTCTTTTTTAATTAAAGGATTTCTTCATGGAGTGGTTTATTTTAATTTTGAGAGCTCTATATCCAACATAATTTAACACCTGGTCAGTTTAAAGCATTGTTTGAGTTATTTATATCAGCCCTCTCCCTTGGTACTATGTTTTAAAAATCTGGTGTGTATTTTGCACTTCTAGCACATCTCAGTTTGGACTAGCCACATTTCAAGTGCTCAGTGCCACATGTTCCTAGTGTCTTACTAGTTGGTCAGTACAGGTATGACTTATGTTGAATTTTGCCTAGTTACGAAGATATGAATCTTAATAATAGGATCTCTTAGTATTAGCACTCATTGGATTTTCTAAGTGGAAATGTAATGGGCAGTGCAATGATTTAACATTGTTTACTAGAGACGTTTCTTGAAGACTTCTGAGTTATCGTAAGCATGTACAAAAGGTTATTTCTTAAGCTTGCATTTAAAATGCGTTTACTTCGTATGATCCTCAGCAAGACTATGAGTGGAATATTACATGCTCACACAAGCATACGTGCATATGGTTTAATTAAAAAAATAAAAAAAGGAGAAAAGTGTTAAGCTGTAAACATGGCTCCTTGCCATATGTGAATTCCATCCCTCTCTGTTTGCAGCCATTGTTGACTATTTTTTTGCATCTTTCCCGATATTGATTAATTACATGGGCATATAGAATTATGTATCACTTTAAATCTTTATTGGTTTGCTGCATCTGACTCCCCCGATCCTATTTAATATCGTGTCAGGACATACAGATGCATTTTGTTAATCAACAGTGCTACCTTTGACTTGCTTATGGAAAGGACAATAGGAGAGTTAAGAGTAGAACCATTTACTATTTTGAGCAGACTGTTTCTTAAAAGGATGATGAACTGATACGTTTTCTTTAAAACCTGTTACGTTTAAAAATTCTGTTGAACTTTAAAAAATAAATGTGAAAAATTCAAGCAGTTCATAGCTGAGGAAAGTAAACCTTGGTACCCAATGTCTTCAGAATTACCATTTTTCTTAACTGCCGTCAGTCTGAGTGGTGATCGTGGTTAACAATTGAGTGTGGAAGTCTTCCATACTTTTTAATATTTTATAAAAATGCACAAGTAGTCATTTATTTTTCATTTTGTTCTTATTCCCAGTTGCTTTGTTTGACACTCTTTTTTTTTTCTTTCCTCTCATCTTCCCCTTTAAAAAAAATATATTTTCAGGCTTTAAACTCCAGAGAACCTCATATGTGTTTAGTAAGAGATATTTCAAACTGCTGGGCCCCCAAAGTAGAAACAGCTATAACAAAGGTGAGCACATTACAAATTTGAAGTTTTAAGAAAAAGAATATTTCTTTGGGTGAATGGAACTGTTACTTAGTATTATGATTAAACTGAGTTTTTTATTCTTTAATATCTTTATTCTCTTGTCTTATAAATTTTGTGGGATTATGGTTTTAGATGTCAAGATTGTACTCCTGATTTGTTGAGTGAATGAATGAATAGAAGACTAGCAGTTGAAGACCTTGGATGTGGTTCTTCCCTGCCCACCATGCATGATCATCTGGGCCAGGAAGAATGTAGGGATAAATATCAATATCAGATTTATCAGTAGATAGTTTTTATCAATCTCAGTACTTAAAAGAGCATTACTTTGCTGAGAGGAATGCTGTATTTCAGGGTGTAATAAAACCGTCATGGGGCTAGAATATAATACCACAAAAGCATAGGAGCATCATCATGGTGCTCCATTTTGCATATAACTTGGTGTCTACATGTAGGGGACGTGTTTCGTGGTTTAGTGAGAAAGGGAAAGCCAAGACATGCTATGATGACATCCATATGGTTTCGCTGCTGGCTGAGTTTCAGAGATGACACCTTTCTCTTGGCTGTCTGAGCATTTCTGGCAGAGATTGAATTCTGGAGGTAGTTGTAAAATGTGTAACTTCACTTTTTAAATTTTTAAAAATCATTGTGTCTTTATGTAATCTGTAGTTTTTTAAAGCCAGTTGAATTTAGTAGTGGGGGCTTGTATACCAACGTTAGTGACACTAAATATTTAATAAGTTCTGATAACCAACTACTGTCAGGCCAGTCGGATTTTACTCTTATGTGGTATTGTAAGCTTTAAATTCACAGTCTTTCAGATTGTCACTTAAAAAGTTTGTCAACATTCAATTTAAAATATATCTTAAATTGATATCAAGTTAATTATATTGCATTTTTCCAATAGAGGAGCCCTTTAAAAGCTGTTTTCTCATTGAGGATACTTAAGGACTAAGGTATGATTTCCTTTTTCACACTTTGGCTATTCCTGTTGAACAGGTGAGGACACCAGTGATGAATTCTGAAGCAAAAGTTCTGGTGCCTGGGATTCCTGGTCATCATGCAGCTATCAAGCCCGCTCCTCCACAAACCGAGCAAGTAGAGAGCAAGAGGAAGTCAGGGGGAAATGAGGTAATGCAACTGCTTTGACCATATATTTGAGTTTGTGATTTAAAATTACTGGGAAATTCTAACAAGTGTGTTGGATAGAGCCAAAGTTAAATCTTTAGAAATTTACTGAGATTTCTCCTGTTATGCTCTCTTTTATCTTCACCATCATAGATTTCATAATTCTAGATTGTCATCTTTGTTTAACAGAGAAGATGGAACCTTCAGTAACTAAAGAGGGTGCTGTTTTGGCCATTAGTTAGTAGTTAGCTGGGTAACATAAAATGGAATAAGTCAAGCCAGGACTTGCTGTGATGACTATCATTGGGTTTCGCATGTTGCTGAGTTCCAGTGATGCCTCTTTTCTCTTGGCTGTCTGAGCAATCCTGGCTAACCTAGTGCCAGTTGGTCTCTAAAAGTGATAGTCATTATAACTGCCTAAGTGTTTATGATCTTCATTTTTTCCTCAGTTCCCAAAATCCTTTGTGGTTACTGTACATGTCTGTGCAGAGTTGTTTTTTATCTTCCATTCACATTCTTCCCTCTTACATAAGGAATCTGGAATTTTAACTGTTTCATTCTTACAGAAATACTAGGTTTCTTTAGCTGATTTTACTTTAATTTGTATTCTTTTTTTTTCTTTGTCCAATTTTTGAAGGATAATTTAGCTGATTTTAAATGCGTTTATTGGGTGGTGGGGTGGGGATAACATAGCTTCATAAAACATGTTCATAACATGTTCATAAAAGTTATTCCTCAGTTACATGATAGCTGACTTTAAAAATAAAGCGCCAACTTTCTTTGGCTTGGCCTAGTTTCAACTTTTTAATTTCCCCATGTCCTTTTTAATCTTTTTTGTGTTAGGATAAACCAAGCACATCTGTTTGCTATGTTAGTCATAAAACAAATTTCTTTTTGATAACCAAGAGGCTGACAGAACATGTTAGACTTGATTTAATCAGGAATCAGTTCTATACAATTGAGGGTGTTTGTTGTTGTTTTTGTTTGTTTGTTTGTTTTTTGGAGATAGGGTCTCATTCTGTCACCCAGACTGGGGTGCAATGGTTTGATCTTGGCTCACTGCAACCTCCACCTCCTGGGCTCAAGTGATCCTCCCACCTCAGCCTCTTGAGTAGCTGGGACCATAGATGGATGCCACTATGCCTGGCTAATTTTTTTATAGAGACAGAGTTTTGCCATGTTGCCCAGGCTGGTCTCGAACACCTGGGCTCAAGTGATCCGCCTGCCTCAGCCTCCCAGAGTGCTGGGATTACAGGTGAGAGCCACCACACCCAGACCACAGTTGAGTTTTTGTATAGCAAATTGCATCATGTTTATTTACACATAAATGTTAAGTATTTATCAAGGAAGGACACTTAGTTGTAGTATAGCATATTCTAGCTAATAAATCATCATTTGGAGCTCACTGTTAAAAATAGGAAGACATTTTAAAAAATTGTTTTGGGAACATAACATTTCTTTATGCCCTTTTAATAATATTTTGTTTCCTCCTGCAGATCTGAGAGTGACACCAAGGGATAGTTATAGTGGGGCAAGCTTCTGTGAGAATAGGTCTTAAGTCTTGTGTTCTAGAATCAGATGCCAGGTCCTTGCCTTTTCTGAATCTTCATTTAGAAGGATTTTTATGAATGAACATTTTCAAACTATGTGCTTCTTGGGCCGTTGTTTTTTTCACTAGAATCTGGAAGCTTGGATTGCAGATGTTTGTCTCCAACATTGGCATTATGGTAATGAGGTTCTCTTGGAATAAGAATGAGCATATTAGTGTTTTCTAGGGTTGAGGTGTAAATCTATTTTATTTTATTTTATTTTATTTTTTTTGTCTCCAAACTACTTTAAGTCTTGTCTGGTAACACATTAACAATCCTTTCTGTTCTGTAGGTTAGCATTGAAGAACGTCTGGGAGCAATGGATATAGACACACACAAAAAAGGAAAGGAAGACCTCCAGACGAATAGCTTTCCAGTTCTTCTTACCCAGGGCTTAGAAAGTAACGATTTTGAAATGCTAAATGTAAGTATATAGCAATTTTTAACTAAATTAACATGGTTAATATTTCTTAGAAAATGATTGACATAGCACATTCACAGCTGTGAGCCATCATGTTACAGAGCCATTTGGAATGTAATGTTTTATGAGTTTAGTCAAACATGTATCACTTGGTGGCATTATACAGACAGTCACCAACCTACAACGGGATTGCATTGAGTTATTTTGAACCTGGAATGCATTTTCTCATAGAAATACTGTTCTGAATTATTAGGTTATTAGGCTTTAGTTCATAAAAGCCTTTATAAACATAGTGTAGCTGAATGATAATACTCAGCATTCTAGATCACAATTTATATTTTTTTCTGTAGGAAAATGCGTTCCTGAGTTTTTACTCTGGATTCCAGAAACTTATTTCCCCCTGGCCGTGAGAGGGGGCAGTGAGGTGGAACCTTGGCAATGGGTAGGAGGTTTGGGGGAAAATTCAAGAGGGTTGGGGGTTATGTTGTAAAATATGTAGAGGTAAAAGTACTAGAAACTTTGTATAAAGGGAGGCATTTATGATTTCTGTGTAAGTTGGTGACTGCTTGTATGAAGTTACTCAGTTTGATTCTCTTAAATTCTACAGTTTGACAGCATTCTATCTAGAATATTTAAGTGAAAAACAGTTCGATTCAAGTACTGCCTGATCAGATTAAAGCAGTTTACATTTGCTAATGCATTTATTCTTAATGACTCATAGCAGTGTTGTGATTTCAGTGAGTGTCAATGTGACTTTAATCCATAACCTATGAATAGTGTGTCTCATTTTATTTGATCCATTTTTTTAGGGTACATTGATCCTAAAATTACTTTTAAAATAGTTTGTGAATGTGTGTATTGTGGAGGTAGATTTTAGTTTACCATGGCATAGAAACCTGGGTGAAGATTTGGTGAAAAATCTGTAGAAAACAATTGACAGTGTTTTTGAAATGGAATATAACTTAACTGCCCTCATTGCGTTCTAATTATGCTTTGAAACCTTCCTCAGTAGGTACAAATGAATCAAGTACAAATTTTTTCTTTTTCTTATTAAGAAACAGTTCAAAACATTTAGAATAGTACAGTGGACCATCACGAACTCATTACCTAGTTTCAAAAATTATCAGTACTAGCCAATCAACTGTTGATTTGTTGATAGTCTCACTTGTCTCCCCAAGTTATGGTGAAGCAAATCTCAGATGATCACATATCATTTTATCCATAAATATGCCCCATTCAACTTAAAACATCCTTTAAAAAAATAACCATAATCCATTGTTGCACCTCAAAAAAGTAATTCTTTAAAAATTATCAAATATCATTAGTGTTTGTATTTCCCTGATTGTCTCAAACTTTTTTTTTATTTCTGCTTTTTTTTTTTTTTTGGAGATAGAGTCTTGCTTTGTAGCCCAGGCTGGAGTGCAGTGGCGCAATCTCGGCTCACTGCTATCTCTGCCTCCCAGGTCCTGGTTCAAGCAATTCTCCTGCCTCAGCCTCCCGAATTGCTGGGGTTACAGGCGCATGCCACCATGCCCAGCTAATTTTTGTATTTTTAGTAGAGATGGGGTTTCACCATGTTGGCCAGGCTGGTCTTGAACTCCTGAGCTCGTGATCCACCCGCCTTGGCCTCCCAAAGTCCTGGGATTACAGGCGTGAGCCACTGTGCCGGCCTATTTTTGCTTTCTTTAAAACAAGATTCCAACAGAGTCTACACTGTATTTAGTTGGTATGCCCCTTCTGTCTCTTGCAATTTAGTTTTTTGGAAAAGTTAGGTTATTTGCCTAGTAGAGCATTCCATGTTCAAGATTTTGCATACTGCATCACTGTGGTATCATTTAACACATTGCTCTGTTTATCTTGTTCTTTATATAGGTTAGATCTAGAAGCTTGAAGATCTAGATCTAGTTCTGGTTAGATCTATAAGCTAGAAGAGATTCGGTTTAAAATCTTTTTTTTTTTTGCAAGAACGTTTCAAAGATGTTAATATGTAACTTTCATTAAGTGTCATAGGTGTTGAAAGGGAAAATAAAATGCTGTTTATGAAAACACTTCTTAAATTGTATAGGTTACTTAGGTAGAAATAATAGAGAAGTGGTTGAATGATGAAAAATTGTGTGCTTGAAAAGTTAGTAAAGAGCATAAAATACACATGCCCTTCCCCCCGCCCTTTTTTTTTTTTTTTTTTAAATGAGACAGGGTCTCACTCTGTCACCCAGGCTGGAAGAGCAGTGTTGCAATTGTAGCTCACTGCATGAACTCCTGGGCTCAAGTGATCCTGCCACCTCAGCCTCCTGAGTATCTGGGACTGCAGGCACGCATCACCATAGCCAGCTAATTTTTAAAATTTTTTTGGTAGAGACAGGGTCTGCTGTGTTGCTCACATTGGTTTCAAAGTCTTGTTCTCAAGTAATCCTCCTGCCTCAGCCTCACAAAGTGCTGGCATAGAATAGCCCTTTCAGAAAATTTTTATTCTATTGATTGATTGATCGATTGTCGCCCAGGCTGGTGTGCAGTGGTGCGGTCTCAGCTCACTGCAACCTCTGCCTCCCAGGTTCAAGCGATTCTCCTGCCTCAGCCTCCTAAGTAGCTGAGATTATGGTTATGTGCCACCACACCCAGCTAATTTTGTATTTTTAGTAGAGACAGGACTTCACTGCGTTTGCCAGGATGGTCTCAGACTCCTGATCTCCGGTCACCTGCCCCTCTTGGCCTCCCAGAATGCTGGGATTACAGGCGTGAGCCACCGTTCCCAGCCAAGTAAACCCTTTTTTAAAAAAGAAAAGAATGGATGTTCTTATAATGTATTACCTAGGAGATTATGCATTTATATATTCTGTACTCTAAAAAGAAAGAGGTTAGTAACATTTTTCTTTCTAAAAACGTTTTCCCCCTTCCCAAAAGCTGCCTTATGAGGATACATAGTTATGAGGATATTAAAAATAGGAACAAAAGAAGAATGTGAGCAGTGACAGGGATACAACATGGCACCTTCCAAGAGGTTAATACTGTCTGTCATAGAAAACCTGACATTAACATTAATGGCATTTGGAAGGTGGAAATGTAACTCAATGAATTAGTGTGTAGCTTATGCAAAAAGAGAAGCGTATTTATGTAATTCATGGCATCCATAGGGGATATTTTTAAATATTTTAAAAAGCATTTAAGTTAAATATTTTTTAACAGTTCCATTTATAGTAGTACCAAAAAATACCTAGGGTATATCTAAAACAGGTAACTGTCTCTACACTGAAAATTATAACAGTTGAGAGAAGTTAATGAAGACCTAAGTAAATAGAGATCTAAGCCCTGTTCATGGGTTAGAATATTCTGTATTTTGGGGTCAAGAATTCTCCCCAAATAATCTATATATTTAATCCATTCTCAATTAAAATTCCAGCAGTCCTTGTCAGCCACCTTCGTAGAAATTGACAAACCTATCCTAAAATTTATGTGGAAATGCAAAGGACATGGAATAACCAAAGAAATGGTAAAATAAAGAGCAAGTTGGAGGAATCACCCAGTTGATTTCAAAATAAAGCTATAGTAGTCAAGATAGTTTGATATTGGTGAAAAAATAAATATAGATTAAGGGGCCAAAACAGAGTCCAGAAATAAACCACATGCAATTGGAAAAAAATGGATCTCAGTTTTATCTCACCTTACACAAAAATCAATGCAAAATAGACCATAGACTTGACTGTAAAACCTAAAACTACAAAACTTCTGGGAAAAAACAGGAGAACATCTTTGTGAACAAGAGTGGGGAAAGATTTCTTAGATATAGCATACAATGCATGAAATGTTAAAGAAAAAATTGGTCATTTGAACCTTATCAAAATTAGAAACTTCTGTTCTTGGAAAAACAGTGTTAGGAGTATAACAAAACAAGCTGAGGGCTGGGAACAAAATATTAGCAACTCATGTTAGACAAAGGATTTGTATCTGGACTTTAAAGCAGTTGGTAAAGGTTTGAATAGACACTTCACAATAGAATTCAAATGGCCAGTAAGCACATGTAAAGGTATTATGCATTATTAATTATCACAGAAAGGCAAATTAAAACCACAGTGAAATAAAGCTTGCACACACCCCTTATAGGTTGATAAAAATGCGAAAGACAGACAATAATACCATCTGTTGGTGAGGATGTAGAGCAGCTGAAATTCAAGTATGTTACTGGTGGGAATGTAAATGGTATAACTACTTTGGAAAACAATTAGTTTATTAAAAATTGAGGATGTATCCACATATGATGGAGCCATTCTGCTGCTAGATATTTACCAGGAGAATAACACACATACGTTCATACAAAGACTTCCTCATGAATGTTCTTTGTAATGGCCCTAAACTGGAAAGAACACATATGTCCTTTAACAGGTGAATGGAGAAACAAATTGTTCATCTAGCAATATAAGTAATGTGTTATTAATAGACCAGTAGTATTCATGAATCTCAAACTAAGGCTGTGAGAAAGAAGCCAAGCAAAAAGTAATATAAATTCCTATTTATATAAAAATTCTGGAAAAGCAGACCAATACATAGTTCAGTAGCTGCCTGGGAATCGGGGTGGAAGGAGGGATACATTTAAAGGGACCCAAGGAGACCCGAGGGTGATACAGTGTTTATTTTTATCATATCATAGTATTTGTTTCATGGGTAAAGAGTATGTCAAACTGATCAAGCAGTACACTTTAAATATATGGTGTTTATTACGCTTCATTTGTACTGCAGTAAAGTTGTAAAAGAAAAATCTTGTCTTCAACACCACCTTCTTAGTAGTTATAACTATGGCTTATAGGTTTGTTTCTTTACATACATCCTTGATGGAAATTAATGAGGCTGACTCCTCTGTTTATTATCATTTCACTTAGTTTGGGATAACGTATTTTTATTTGCTGATTTTAAATTAGAAAATCATTACTAATTACTGAGACCAGGAGGTCAAAGCTGCAGTGAGCTGTGATCATGTCAGTGCACTCCAGCCCAGACAGCAGAATGAGGCCCCTGTTTCAAATAAATACATTAATAGGTTGGAAACTAACTTCCTCTATTTTTGCCTTTTGGTGCCACTGCTGTTTCTATTCTGAGCATATTTATAGCAACAACCATCACCAACAAATACATACACCATTAGAAAGACTCTCTGGAACTAAACCCTTTCAAAAGGACCCTAATTTTCACCTTCTACTTCTGTAAAGCATGTGGGGCTTGAAGAAGTTGAACAACCTGTGCCAGAAGGTGTGCTTCTAAGGGGCAGGACCGGAACTGATCTGCTCTGTGTCCTTTGCTGTAACCCAGTGTGGAGACTGGGTCTCCACCATAGATGTACGCTTAAAGGGTTTTGATTCAAGCTCTCATTATGTCATCTTTTGATTGGCATAAAATTTTACCAAAATTTTGACACCTACTTTAAAAGGATTTCTTGCTTTCTAAGTAATTTTACTGTTTTGCTCACTCTAGGGTGGATACAGCCCAAATTTCATAAAATGGAGGTTTGGGAACATCTTTAAAGTGGCATATGTCTGTATTCAAACGTCTAGAGATGTTTTAATAAAACACAAAGAAGTAAAATTACTTCAGTAATGAAGTAAATTTACTGATACCCAAAGACTGTGCTTGTCTGTTAAGCACAAGACGTAATATAACATACTCCATTCAGTCCCTCCAACCTTTATTTTTGCTAAATTCAGTTTGTAGTTTATTGCCTTGGTCTTAAATGATTTAAAGGATTCATTTTTACAGACTTTTTTTTTTCTGTGATGTCCTTGGTTTGTCAGTATGCTCATCTTAATAATCCTTTTATTTTCTCACAGAAAGTACTTCAAACTAGGAATGTAAACCTTATAAAGAAGACTGTATTAAGGATGCCCCTGCATACTATTATTCCGTTGTTACAAGAGGTAACTGACTGCTTTTTTCATTTCAGCATCCTAATGCCATGAGTTAAATGGAAAATTCAGTAGTTAGAGAAATGGATTTGTAATACGTAAGGACACATGGCATTTAGAGTGAGTAATGGATGGAGGAAAGTACTTTAGACAAAAAAAAAAAAAAAAAAAAAGTGAAATTAATTCCTGGGGCAATGAAAGGAAATGTCATTGGCAGTTTTACCTTTATTCTGCTAATGGCTATTGTGTGTCTGTTTACCTGGAGGCACTTGGAACTTGTGGCACAGAATGCTGTATGTACAGGATATCATCTACATGGGAATAATTGTTGTAAACACCCCAAACATAAAGCTCCCAAATTCTCATTTTGGTTTTTCCCAGTATGTCCTGTGAGGTACCTTAACCTAACACCGAAACCATTTTTATATGTATTGATTTTCTTAATCACAGTTTGGTTGTTAATCTCTGTGACTGGCAGTATGGAATTGGAGGTGGGAGGACTGCTTGAGCCCAGGAGTTTAAGACTGTAATGCGCTATGATTGCACATTTAAATAGCCACTATACTCTAGCCTAGGCAACATAGCAAGACCCCATCTTAAAAAAAAAAAGTATATATAATTTCACTGAAACTTGCCCTACAAGAGTGGGTATAAATTTTTAAAAATTAGGCCTAAAAATAGAGTGTATTCTTTGTAATTAGAAATTATACCTGGATTCCATTTATCTAACATGCTGCTGAAGTATTTTGCAAGTATAGTTACGGTATTAACAGTGTGGGCTGGTGTACCATTATTGGTAAGGGAAAACTCTGTACTTAAAAAAGCAGTGTCTTGTATAGAAAAGGGTGGTCATGTGTTTTTGTAATACTGCCTACTATAAAAATTTGCCTAACCTTGATTTTTTTCTTTGTATTTTAAAAATCGAGATACAATTCACGTAGCATAAAATTTAACTCTTTTAAAGTATACATTTTAGTGTTTTTCAGTATGTTTGCAAGTTGTGCAGTTGTCACCCCAAAAAGAAATCCTTTATCTATTAGCAGTCACTCTCCATTCTTCCTTCTCCCCAGTTGGCTGGCAATCACTAAGCTATTTTCTGTCTGTGGATTTTGCCGGTTCTGGACATTCCTTCATATAAGTCCTATCCTAGACTTTTATCAGCTAATTACTCTGATTATGGGAATGTATTCATAGACTGTATTATGCGGTTTAAAATAGACTACTTATTAGAATAATAATTTCTCAATATTGTCATTGTATCATAGGAATTGACAGCATTGGTTGCCTCTGAAGTGCTGTTGTTAATAGTGTTTTTCTCTCCCTTAGCTTACAAAGAGGTTACAAGGACATCCTAATAGGTAAGATTAAACAGGTGACTTAAAAACAGTGTTGTCTGACAGCATGAAATTAAATATTAGGTGGTTCTGATTTCTAACTAATAAAACTCTTTCAGTGTCAAATATTAACCCCTCGCCACCTCCCTTATTTTAAGTTGAATGATTCTTATTCTTAGCGTTTTATTATAGTTTTCTTTTGCAAAACTCCTAAATTGATACTTTAGCTTTATTAGCAGGTCATTTAAATGATTAGTCTTATTTAATAACTTAGTGTTGATATCGTAAAACTGCTGCTTATAGTACCTGCCGAACCTCTGATAGCTGCTTAAGACTCTGTAAAAATATGTTTTAGCTAAAAGACTAAATTTTGTGTCTTTTTTCTTGATAATCTGATCAAACATTTAAATAACATGACATCTTAAAGATCCTAAGCTTATAGTATATTATCATCAGTATCTAGATAGTAAAATATGTAGTTTTTCTTTAAAAATTTTTTTTCTCGTGGGGTGCATTAGCCTTCTGAGCTCACAAAAGAGGAAAGCTAAATAATTCATTAATTATGACTTTTTTGCACATTTTTGGTCTATATTTGCCTTTTAATGTTAATGGAGGACTTTGCTATTCTTGACAGATTTTTATGTTTATTGTTAACATAAAATGCAAAACCAGTCGAACTCAATTTGGACGAAGATTACTGCCCTCATATCAGTTAATTATGAAGTAAAGCACGGGTTTTGCTCTTGAACTGTTTTAGAGGAAGGGGTTTTGTCCTGTTTTCTGATGTGGCCCCCAATCCCTGCCCAAGGTCTATGACACAGAGCTCAGATAATCTGAAAGAAAAAACGGAAAGTGATATATACACAGTGATATATTTATTACAGTCATTTTCACAGAGCAACATTTATAGACCTTCACTTGTCTGTCTGGGTTTTCTAACAGCTCAGTTGAATTTACTTTTGAATTTGTGAACATTAGTTTACTTGGATTTTTTTTTCCAGTGCTGTGCTAATGGTTCAGTGGCTAAAATGTGTGTTAACAGTTCATGCATCATACCTGTCCACGGTGAGTCTTTTCAGCTTCTGTTGCCGAGTATGAATAGTTTGGCTTTGATAAGGATTGTAAACTTTGACAAGTATGGCTGAACAAAACCATCCTTTCCCCATCTATCCTTCAGCCGTTAGATGCTTCCTTTAGAGATTTTGTTTTACCCCGGGTGCAATGACATGAGCCCTTTCATGATGTCACTGCTGTGGCTTTTTATAAATTGGTCTTCCCCTCTGCCCCCCGGATGTAAAAATATAGAGATCTTTACAAATACAGAAAGGAGAAAAGTTATATAATGACATACTAAGATTTAGATGTGACACACACACAGGCACGGCAGGTTTTAAATGTTTTTATACATGCTAATGTGTCTGTCCTGCCTTGTCCCAGGAGGATAAAATGTAGTTAATGGTAACAGTAACATAAATATTTGCTACCTGACAATTTGCTGGTGCTGCTGTCAGCTCTTGATTACCTATGGAAATAGAAGAGGGAAAGCAACACCAGAAAAAAAAAATTGTATTCATAATATGAGTTGGGTTCTTTGCCACATCATTACATCCATTATATTTTAAGCTGGAAATAAAAGTATTCAATTTTTTTTCTTTATCTAGTGCTTTACTTTAAGCTTTAAGTTTTTAGTGGACAGTTGAAAAAAATCCTGAATTGTTCTTTAAAATGTAGCTCTTCTTAACACAGTCTCACCCAACTCCTGCCTTGTCACAGTCCCTTGTTCTCTGTCACTGACTCCTTTGCCTTCAGTGGCTTGAATTAGGGAAAACTTGGTTAATCTGCTTTGAGGTCAGCAGTTTGTTCTTTGTGTGTTTGGGGAGAACTCGCTAAGATGCTGGAATGGGGTTGAGAGAAACAACAGATCTTGGGTGTCCCAGCCTGTAGGAGGCTTGGGAGGTGACCTGGGAACACTGATGAGAGGCGTTTTGGGAGGTGGCCTGGGAGCACTGGTGAGAGGGGTTTTGGGAGGTGGCCTGGCAGCACTGGTGAGGGGGGTTTTGGGAGGTGGCCTGGGAACACTGGTGAGGGGGGTTTTGGGAGGTGACCTGGGAGCACTGGTGAGAGGGGTTTTTGGGAGGTGACCTGGGAGCACTGGTGAGAGGGGTTTTTGGGAGGTGACCTGGGAGCACTGGTGAGAGGGGTTTTGGGAGGTGACTTGGGAGCACTGGTGAGAGGAGTTTTGGGAGGTGACTTGGGAGCACTGGTGAGAGGGGTTTTGGGAGGTGACTTGGGAGCACTGGTGAGAGGGTGGCCGAGGGGCATTGCAATTGCATGAACGATCCCAGCAGACATCGGATCTTAGGAATCTGGATGGCAAATGGGGCAACACTAATGTGGCCTCAGTTACTTGCTTAGAAGTGAGGAGAGACCCGGGAGATCTTGTAGTGAAATCTTTTCTGGAATCAACTCCTGAGGTATAACCAGAGTAGTTGTGGTGTAACATTCAAGGTCGTGGCAGAACAGACGAAAGAATGGTATAGGGAGGGCCCCTCAGCCCGTAGCAGTTATCAAGGAAACCATGGTTTTCCTCGCTCTTTTCCTTCATTTCTTCCTTCCTTTGCTGATATTTTTAAGTGCCTTCTGTAAGCCAAGGGCTATGCCAGGCATGGGGATTCAGCAATGTACCAAACACTCTGGTCCCCATCTTCTTGGAGCTCATAGTCTGAACAGGGACACAAAAGGGAGGTGATAAATTGGAATGCAATGACCTTAAACCTTGCTTTACTAATTTTTGTGTCTGTCTGCTGTTTAAAGTTAACATTTGAATGAAACACTTTTTTACTAAAGTATTAGAAATAGGAGTGCAGGTAAAGGCTAATCAGAGGTAAGGAGTGGAGTCTGGGCACGGTGGCTCACACCTGTAATCCCTGCACTTTGGGAGGCTGAGGCGGGTGGATCATGAGTTCAGGAGATCAAGACCATCCTTTCTAACACGGTGAAACCCCGTCTCTACTAAAAATACAAAAAATTAGCCGAGCGTGATGGCAGGTGCCTGTAGTCCCAGCTACTCGGGAGGCTGAGGGAGGCAGGAGAATGGCGTGAACCCGGGGGGGCAGAGGTTGCAGTGAGCATAGTTCATGGCACTGCACTCCAGCCTGGGCGACAGAGCGAGACTCCGTCTCAAAAAAAAAAAAAAAAAAGAATGGAGTCCGTTTTTCTGTAGTGCTACAGGGACAGATAAAAGAATATCAGAATATCACGGGGGTAGGGGGTGAGGTGGGGAAGCCAGCGTTGTTCTTTTTCTTTTTTTTTTTCTTGAGACGGAGTTTTGCTCTTGTTGCCTAGGCTGGAGTGCAATGGCACGATCTTGGCTCACCGCAACCTCCGCCTTATGAGTTCAAATGATTCTCCTTCCTCAGCCTCCCGAGTAGCTGGGATTACAGGCACATGCCACCATGCCTGGCTAATTTTTGTGTTTTTAGTAGAGATGGGGTTTCTCCATGTTGGTCAGGCTGGTCTTGAACCCCTGACCTCAGGTGATCTGCCCGCCTCAGCCTCCCAAAGTGCTGGGATTACAGGCATGAGCCACCGCGCCCAGCTGCCAGCGTTGTTCTTAGAGCCCAGAGATGGGAGGAAAATTAACCAGAGGCAGGTATTTGAAGGCAGTGGGACAGGAAGAGGCTTGTTCTGGACTTCCAAATGGCTTCCTTTAAAAAGAGGCATTTAAATTTTTCCAGTTGCTTTTTATAGTTGATCTAGGATAGAAAAATTATGGCCATCATGGTTTCCTTTCATATTGTTAAAAATGATCAAGGGGACTTTAAGATTTTATGAGAAAGGCAAATTACCATTGTTTTATTCCTCAGTGAACCTGGAGGAGCCAGACCTTTATCAGTCGTGTTGTGTTCCAAATATAACAGCTATATTCTCAATACAAAAGACTCTGATGAGAGCAACATGGGAGCAAAAAAGAGAATGTCCTACTTTCATTTTTTAAATATGTTTCAGAGGACTCATTAACAGGAAGTATATTTAAAATGCAAAAGGTCAACTTTGTACTTTGTTCTACTGGTCTCTGGGAGCTGGGAAAAGGCTTCTCTGCCTCTTTGGGGCCTTACAGTAAGGGTAGATAATATGCTAGCATCAGAGGATAAGATTCAGAGGAAAGCCTCTTTAGCCTGGAGATACGTGGTAGAGGCATTTTTAATTTCCTGTCTACTTTATATGGGATATTGGCCTTATCTGAAATAGTTTGATCAATACAGAAAAGTGCCACCTTGCAGTTTCACTCTCTTGCCCTTATATCATTTTTTTTATAAGCCTATTATTTTTTCCTCCTAGGACATTGAGGGTCTTCTGTGAAAATTCGTGATGTTGTTAGGCTATGTTGCAGGTAGCCACTGCCACTGGGAGTACTTGTAAGCAGATGTGTGTGGTGCAGTGGCTAAATACTGAGGCATAGCTGAGCATGATTTGCGTGTTCGTCATCTCTAATACGTTAATAGTGCCAAATGATCATTTTTTTCTCTAGTTGCCTGACCTGGTACCCCAGCTGGGGACACTCTACCAGTTAATGGAAAGCAGAGTCAAAACTTTTCAGAAACTTTCACACCTTCATGGAAAGCTTATTCTTCTAATTACACAAGTGAGTAAATCATATTGTTCTGGGCTAAAACTTTTGGACATGGTAGGAATGGAGAGAGGAATAAGGATCATTTTGAGACAGGGTCTTGCTCTGTCGCTCAGGCTGCACTGCGGTAGCATGATCATAGCTCACTGCAGCCTCGCTCAAGTGCCTCCCAAGTAGCTGGGACTACACGGATGCACCACCATGCCTGGCTAATTTTTAAATTTTCGTAGAGATGGCATTGCCTAGGCTGGTTTTGAACTCCTAGGCTCAAGGGATCCTACCACCTTGACCTCCCAAAGTGCTGGAATTACAGGCGTGACCCACCACGCCTGGCTGAGAGCTCCCTGTTTCAGTAAGAAATTGGTAAATCAGGATCTAGTCTTTAACTTGGAAAGCTTATCAGTTTGACAGTAAGAAAGTTTAGTTGTGTCTGTTTCAACTTTTACTCAAATCTTTTTCTCACCATTGTGTTTCAGTTGTTATACAGTTAGTAAGTTATAGGATATTTATACAGTTAAAATTTTGGCACAGAAAGATATTCTAATCACCTCAGAGTTTTTCAGCTTTACAGAGTAATTCTTTCCCTCTTGTATTTGAAGGACTTTTTTGCTCTGTATTGTATGAAGGTCCTCCATTATGGTGGTGGAGGGTGAGTTAGCAGCAAGCAGTGGGGAAGGTTGGGTATGCTGGTGGTCGTGATACTTGGGATATGTTTACACTCTACTTCAGAACAGTACTTTATCTTCTTCCAGGTAACAGCATCAGAGAAGACAAAGGGAGCAACTTCCCCTGGACAGAAGGCAAAGTTGGTGTATGAAGAAGGTAAAGACTGGGGGAATGGGATGGAGTCTAGAATTATAACATTCAGTTTTCAGTGACTGAGTTCTGTTATCTTTTTGAAAACGTCAACATAAGATCTTCCTTTGGCAAGCCTTCTCTAATTAAAATAGGCAAGTCCGTGGCAAAAATCTGTAATTCATCAGATAAGAAAAGAAAAGGCACAAGTATAATACAGTGACAAAAAAGGGCATTAGTTATGGAAGATTTTTTTTTTCTTTTCTTTTTTTTTTTTTTTAAGACAGTCTCAGTCTGTTGCCTAGGTTGTAGTGCAGTGCTGTGATCACAGCTTGCTGCAGCCTCAACCTCCTGGGCTCAATGCAATCTTCCTGTCTCAGCCTCCTGAGTAGCTGGGACTACAGGCGTGCACCACCATGCCCGGCCAACTTTGGTATTTTTTTGTAAAGACAGAGTTTCACTATGTTGCCCAGGATGGTCTCAAACTCCTGGGCTCAAGTGATCCCAATGTGCTTGGATTACAGGTGTGAGCCACCATGCCTGGCCAGGTATGGAAAATATTTAAATAGAAGAACATTATATGAACAAACTTAGTGTAAATACATTTAAAAGTCTAGGTGGTATAGTTAATTTTTAAGGAAACATTAATGACCAAAATTGACTTTAAAAGAAATAAAAAGTTTGAAAAAGCCAGTAGCTCTAAAATTGACTTTATAAAACTTCTCACAAGATATGCCCAGATATTTTGAAGGTTATTTGATCAGGCCTTCAAAGAACAAATCTTTTCTTTTCTTTTTTGCACAGACTCTCTCTGTTGCTCAGGCTGGAGTGCAGTGGCTCGAGGTCAATCATAGCTCACTGCAGCCTCAAACTCTTACACTCAAGCGATCATCCTGCTTCAGCCTCTAGAGTAGCTGGGACTGTTGAGCCACCATGCCTGGCCAATTTTCTTTTTTTAAAGGTAGAGATGAGGTCTCTTTGTTGCCCAAGCTGATCTTGTACACCGTGGCCTCAAAAACGGTCTTCTCGCGTCAGCTTCCCAAAGTGCTGGGAATAGAAGCATGACCCACAACACTGGGCTGTCCTTTTTGTCATGTACTGGCAATTTAGTCATTTTATGAGCCAAGTATAATCTTGATAACAAAACCTGGAAATGTCAAAAAGGGAACATTTTAGATCATCCTCAAATACCCTGAGTAGCAAATTGATTATAGAAGTGTAGGGTTACAGAGTTAATGTGCAATAATAGACAGCTAGACCAATAGATTGGCAATAGCTACCCCTGAAAAACCCGTAGTTCTGTGGACTCTTGGTGTGTTTATTGATGGTGTGTATTGTATCATTGTGGAGAAGATAGCCTGCTCAGTAAGTTGTTAGAAACACTGATAATTTATATGGAACAAAAAATTTTACCATTATCACATCACACATCACATTCCATATTGTGAGAAATGGATAAATTTGAAAGAGTGAAAATGGTCAGGTGTTGGCCATGATTTGGGAAATGGGAGCTCATGCTGTGGTGGGAGTACATGTGCATTCTTTTTAGAGAGCAACTTTGTAATCTCAAAGTTGACAATTTGCATATCCTTCCATTCATCAAGTGCAGTCCCAAAGTGATCCCAAAGTGCTTGTGTGTATCCCAGTGACCAATACTTCTCCAAGTATGAACAGAGGACCTGTGGGGATGCCCAGAACTCTTTGAGCGGCTCATGATGTCCTCCGCTTTTCAATCGGTCATCTGTGGGAGGCTAGATTTTCTTCATATAGTTCAAATAAAACAACATATCCAAAAAATAGAGTGGAGAAGCAGATATGAGAAGTTTTTAATAGTGCCATTCTACTTAGTAGAATTTGTTGTTGTTTTGGAAATTCCATTTTTCAATTTTAGTGTATGTGCTGCCGAAGAGAGCACAGAAATACTGTTTTTCATTAAATTGATTTGTGTTAACATGTAATGGATGGGCATTTGTAAACAGATTAAATATTCTTAAATTTAAAAATTGAATTTGAATGTGATAAATATAGATAGACTTTTCCCACATAAACAAAAACTTTTTGGAGACCTCAGTTTTTTAAGAATGTGAAAGCATTTTAAGGCTAAAAGGCTTGACAACATAGCTTTAAAACATATATGTAGAGATTATATAAGTATGTTCATTGCAGCCTTTATAATTAAGAAAAAGACTTGTGAACAACATAATTCTTCATTAGTGGGAGCATGTTTAAAATGGTTTATTCCTTTAGCATAACACTACATTGGTGAGAGTGCCTGGAGTTGAGATCGAGTTAACACGCATAAGTTTGATTACAAAACCAAGTCAAAAAATGATACCTTCTGTGTAGCATCGTGTAATTGTATTAGTAAGCAAAATAAGGGTGGCTTGAACATAAGCTCCGCGATACTGCAACATTCGATTTGATAACTGAGGTGGCTACTAAACGACTAACGGGTGGCTAGTGTAGACAGCGAAGCTGGACAAAGGGATGATTTACCTCTCCGGCCAGGCGGAGCCAGATAGCACGGCACTTCATCACGCTGCACATAACAGGGCGCAATTTAAAACTTAGGGATCCTGGATTTGGTACATTTTCCATTTAATATTTTTGGATTGCAGTTGCCAGGGGAAACTGAAACTGGGGAAAAGGAACACATATTGGGGGAACTGCTGCATATGTCTTTCATGAATATGTACATGTGTAATTCATGGGTAGTATGATGTATGTGTTATAACAGCATACTGGAGAATGAGAAGCTCACAATAGTGGTTTCTTTTGGGGAATGGGCTTAGGGAGATGGGCATGTAAGGGAACTTCATCTGGAGATAATGATTTATTTTCTTAAGAAAAAGTAGATAGAAGAAGAATGTTAGAATATCTTAAAAAAATAGGAATCCCATTCTGTATTATTGGATAACATTAGCACACCTAATGAAATCAATTCCTTAGTTTTATCCAATGCCCAGTTTATCTTCATCTTTCTCCAGTTATCCGTAAAATATCCTTTAAAGCTGTTTTTCCCAAACTAGACTCGAGTTTTGCATCATGGGGTTGAATCTGGCTACTGTGTTTCTGAAGACTCTTTTTAGTCTTTAAGAACTCCCTTTTTCATGACATGGACTTGGTGAAGAGACTGGGAAGTGTATTTCACAGAATGCCCCACCTTATGTTTGTGGATTTGCTTCCTTTTGGTTTCTTTTAATTTGCTCCTCTAAGCTACAGTTCCTTTAAACTGGATGTGAGGCCTAAAGGTTTGATTGGATTTTATTTTTGGAGGGTTGCATCAATGCTGATCGTTCATATTGCAGCACACTAAGAACCACATTGTGCCTGTTATCAGTTTTTTCCTCTCCATTGTGAGATATATCTTCCTTAGTGCTTAGAAAATAATCTAGCTGTGTTAATTTTTGTTTTAACGTTTGCATGTTTTCCCCCAACAATCATACATCTAATATATCAGTTGCTAATATTTCATTATTAGTACTTTATGGGTTAAATAATGCTAATTCTTCCATTTCGTTTATAAGCCAGCTTTTCTGTGTTGAATTTTTCCTCATCCACTGGGGCTATTTGGTGGCCCTGATAGGGCTTAGTATTTAAAGATGAGATTTTTGTAAGGGTTTGGCTAGTTGGTTTGGACCGGTGAGATCTTGAAGGAATAATATAATGAATATACTTTTATACATGTAAGAATAAATTAGCCAGGTGTGGTGGCTCATGCCTATAATCCCAGCACTTTGGGAGGCAGACGTGAGCGGATCCTTTGAGTCCAGGAGTTTGAGATCGGCCTGGGCAACATGGTGAAACCCTGTCTATACCAAAAATTAGCTGGGTGTGGCGGCTACTCAGGAGGCTGAGGCAGGAGCCTGAGGCTTGAACCTGGGAGGCAGAGGTTGCAGTGAGCCAAGATTGCTCCACTGCACTCCAGCCTGCAAAAAAAAAAAATAATAAAATAATGTTATTTCTTAGTTGGATGATTGCTAAATATAAATAATATTTCTAAAAGTAAATTCAGGAATCTGGTTCTGCTTAATTTCCAGGCTGTACCCTCTGTTTTGTTCTAAAATTAAGGCTGGGTTCTTTCTCCCCTTACAGAGTCTTCTGAAGAGGAGTCTGATGATGAAATAGCAGATAAGGATTCTGAAGTGAGTGATTTGTTCCCTGTATATACATCGGCCTTTATATCCTCATACTCTGTAAGAATGAGACCTTCATGAATGCTTTCCTTGTT
Source organism: Homo sapiens (assembly GCF_000001405.40). Classification (NCBI taxonomy): domain Eukaryota; kingdom Metazoa; phylum Chordata; class Mammalia; order Primates; family Hominidae; genus Homo; species Homo sapiens. The sequence continues at coordinate 28,946,586 of NC_000002.12, forward strand.
GGTATTTCGACTAGGATAATTGGGATGAAGATGAGGAGGAGAGTGAAAGTGAAAAAGATGAGGACGTTGAAGAGGAAGATGAGGATGCCGAAGGAAAAGATGAAGAAAATGGCGAGGACAGAGATACAGCAAGTGAAAAAGAATTAAATGGAGATTCTGATTTAGATCCTGAAAATGAAAGTGAAGAAGAATGAAGACAGCAAAGCAAGCCGGTCAAACTATATAAACTCTGGCTCACCTTGCCCAGTGGTGAGGGCTGCCTCTGTGCCAGGATGCCAAGGACCGCTGCACATTTCCAAATTCACAGCAGTGGATCCCATGCCACTTTGCTGTCCTGAGCACCCCAGACTTGACTGTGTAAATAAGAGTGTTTCATTCAAATGTTAATAAACTTTACACAGTATATAGACACATTTTCTGCAATGTACTGACATCAGTGTCCAATATATGGTATATTTTTATAATATAATATCCTAGTATGATTGGTTATATCAAGAATTGACAAGTGCAGATAAAGACCTTTCCCATAGGAGTTCAAGAACTGGACTGTTGTGAAGAAGTCAGCTCTTATCTCAGGTTGGTATCTTTCATCAAATCCAGATGCAAAGCAGCACTAGTGAAAATTTTTTTAATTTAGTACATTTAATTTGGTACATTTTCATAAAATATGAAGGGATAACTACAAACTGGAGTAAAAATGATGGTAATTAAAAAAAATCCTCAGTATCCCTAGCTTGTCTATTAACTGTGATAATCTGACTTGAGTCAGATTGAATATTTGGAGTGCTTCCCCAGAATAACCACTTATTTTTGAAGCTATCATGTGAAGTATTTTTTTAAAACAAAACAAAAATTATGGTCATTAAAAAACTAGAGAATTAGCCATATTAAGGATTTTTCTTGACTGCAAATTACTTCTAAAGAATCATCAGTGTATAGATTAGAAGTGCTCATTACCTGCAACTTTTAAAAAAAATTCAGTTATAGCTGCTTTTGAAGAGGTTTCCATTTTTATTTAAATTACTAATGGATCAAAGAACAATTGTTTATTTTTTCTCTTTGGTTTTAGATATTAATGATAACCTTGTTGGAATTTTTTTTCCAAAGAAAATATTTTTATAATTAAATAATTTAATGTTTTTCTTCCTTTTCATTACCTACTCTTGGCAGTGTTAGGGTATCTGTTTACCTTTAAAATGATAAGTCTCACTCAAGATTTTTTATGTATGTATAAATATTTTGGTGTGCTACAAAAGCCTTTGCAAATTATCAGTAGTAGTTTTTTTTTTTTTTTTTTTTTTTTTAAAGAATGAGCCGATATTGGCTTAGTGCTCACTAGGGGACATGCACATGGAAGCTCACCTCTAAGAAAGGGCTGGGCAGATGGATTTATTTTTTCCCACCTGTGAATATGTAAAACAAAACCATTATCTTTGAGGGAGTTTTTAATACCAATGACAGAACAGAGATTTGTGTGCTCATCTTAAGAGCCAGAGCCATATAAGCATCTTGGGAAAGCAAGTTTGAACCAGCTGCTGGTGTAATGTACAGTTATATTTGTCTATAAATGGAGCTGTTTATGGCAATTTAATACCATTCTCTTTGTAAAGTGAATAAATATTCATCTTTACCCAGTGCTTGTCTTGTGGTATATGTAGAGGAATACAGCCACATGTTTGGGCTTGTGGTGTGAAGGTTTTTAAAAAGCAGTTTTGCTCCCCTGGCATTAAATAGGTAAATGCTTTCAAAGCTTGTGGATAACCTAGAATTTGCAACGAAGTGAAAGAACCAAGACATTTGTGTTAGTCTAGTGTCAGCTATAGCCAGTTGATTCTTCATGCATTCCCACTTGGCTGGGTTGTGACTTCACAACCCAGGGCTGTAGTGACAGTAAAGAAAGAGGCCTGTGCTGATAATTTCAGTCCTTTACTGGTAACCAACACTTGGCTTATGAGTCCGGTTTCCCTTATACCTGACTCTGCCTAAAGAAGTAAATGATGACAACCATATGGTAATTTCTAATTATTTTTTTGGTTTAGAAAAATCTGGAGTTAAATTAGTGTTGTTACAAAAAGAATCTTCTATTTTTAGAATATTTCATTGTCTTTTTCCACTCCTAAACCAGGCAACAAAGTTTGTGTGTGTGTTTTCTTTTTTGAGATTAATTTTTCCTCCCAAACTTTTTTTTGAAAAATTTCAGCCCTCCAATCACTGTCAAGTCAGTAATCATATATTGTAATTACTTGTCATATTGCTCTAATAATTCAGAATAGTCACCCTCATGCTGTGTGTGTGTGGATTTTAATATTTAAATGAGTTCACATAAATTAAGTCATGTTGTAGAATGTCCTATATTGTGGATTTGTCCAGTTGTTTCCTTATGATTAGATTCTGGTTTAAATACTTTATGGCAGCAATCCTAAAAAGGTGGTGGTATTTAAGATGAATTTTTAAAAGTGAATTACTTAGGTATAAATGAATATGAGTATGTTTTAGTGTGAGTAGATGTCAGAGCCTCAGGTTTGGGGCTTTTGAAGCTGTAGTGCAATGGTTAATGCTTCAAGTGAGGCTCAGAAATTGGAACTTCATAATGGACACATCAGGTGCATTGATATATCTGGGGTTGTTATAATTCCATTGGAGGTTAATGCCCAACATGCTACATTCATTGACTCAGCAAGTGCTACTTGATTGCCTACTCTGTGTCAGGGATTATTTAGTAGCTTGATACATAACCATTGAACAGCAGCAATGGAGGATATCTGCCTTTGAGAAGCTGACATTCTACTAGGGAGATGATGGCCATAAACAATGTATGAGTGAGTAAATGCCAACCTTTTTGGCATCAGGGACTGGTTTGGTGGAAGACAGTTTTTCCACGGACTGGATAGGGGAGGGGATGGCTTCAGGATGATTCAAGCACATTACATGTATTGTGTACTTTATTTCTATTATTATTATATTATAATATATAATGAAGTAATTATACAACTCACCATAATGTGGAATCAGTGGGAGCCCTGAGCTTGTTTTCCTGCAACTGCACTTCCATCTGGGGGTGATAGGAGACAGTGACAGATCATCAGGCATTAGATTTTCAAAAGGAGCATGCAACCTAGATCCCTCACAGTAGGGCCCTCCTATGAGAATCAAATGCCGCCGCTGATCTGACAGGAGGTGGAGCTCTGGCAGTGATGTGAGTAATGGGGAGTGGCTGTAAATACAGATGAAGATTTGCTGGCTGACGCTCCACTCACCTGTTGTGCAACCCAGCTCCTAACAGACCACGGACCTATGTTAGAAGATGGCAACCTACAGGTGGAATAGCAGATTAAGGAGGCTGGGAGTTAGGGTGGGGGAGTGCTGTTGCAGAATTAAATATGTGATCAGGATAGGGCTTATTGAGAGGGAGAGATTTGAATATAGACTGGGAAGAGGTGAGAGAGTCAGCGAAGTGGGTATCTGGGGAAGAGACAAGAGCTTGAGTCTAAGGTCCGCATGAGCCTGGTTTATGAAAGACTGAGAGGCGGTCCATGTGGTGCATAGTGAGAAAAGGAGATTAAAGCAGAAGGTAGCGAGCAGTCAGGTTGCGTAGGGCCTTGAGGCCATTGTAAGGACATGCTGACTGACGAGAGTTTGAGCGGAAGAGTGACATGGTCTGCCTTCTGTGTTAAGAATTCAGTATCACCTTGGCTGTTGGGTTGAGAAAGCACTGAAGGACAGTTTCTTGTAAGGCAGAAACCAGTAGGGTGCTTTTAGAGCAATCTAGGGAAGAGGTGATGGTAACTTGGGTCAGGGTGGTATTATTGGAGTTGGAAAGAATTGGTTGGCTTCTGATATTTGGGATAGAGCTGATGGGATTTCTTATGAGATGTGCAAGGAAGCCAGAAAGCAGATATGATTCACAGGTGCTTTTTGCTAGCACCTGGATGCTGCTGTGGGTGGAGTGGGTTTGTGAGGAGAGATCAGGAACTGAGTTCTGGACATGGTGTGTTATAGATACCTATTAGGCATGCAGGTACATACCCACGTAACTTGGGGAGAGGTTGGGATGGAGGTGGTAATTTGGTGTTGGCATGGTTGTGACATTAAAGCTGTCTAAGACTGGGTGAGCTTCCCAAGGGCATGGTCTGAATAGAGAAAGAGCCCCCAGGCCTGGTCCTGGGCAGGAGCGGGGACCCCAGGGATCCCAAGAAAGAGTGACAATGAGGTAGGAGGAACTGATATTTGTTCTATTCTCTTCAAATTTGAATTATCTTTTTTTTTTTTTTTTTTTGTGGAGACAGGGTCTTGTTCTCACCCAGACTGGAGTGCAGTGGCATGATCATGCTTCCTAGGCTCAAGTGATCCTTCTGCCTCTCATCCTCTTGAGTAGCTGGAACTAGAGGTGCACACCAGCAGGCCTGGATAATTTTGATATTTATTTTATAGAGATTGGGTTTTGCCATGTTGCTGGTCCTAAACTCCTAGGCTCAAGTGATCCTCCTGCCTTGGCCTCCCAAAGTGCTGGCTGGGCGTGGTGCTTAGGCGCAAGCCACCACGCCCGGCCAGATTTGAATTCTTGCCATTCTTTAGCTGTAGTTTCTTTCAGTTGTAATTGGTAAGATAACTGGTGAACCCATCCAGGCAGCAGTGGCTTTTCCAGTGCTCCTCCTGTGACCATTTGTGATCATGTCTTTGAAGACAACTCAGGCATAAAATTAGATTTTCTTTTAATCAAATGTAGTTAGCTTTTGACTTTTGTGGCACCTCAGCACTGTCCTTATGCTGACAGAATTGTGCGGTGGATCACAAAGCAGTGGCAGAATGAGAAGCCGTAGCAGTGTAACAGGATTAGCAGGCGTCATTCAGACTGAGGACGCCCGGTGTGGACAAAGCATGGGGTGGGTAGTGCTTCGTCTTCGCATGGTGCTGGCTGACTCTGTGTGAGGACACTGGGTTGTCTGTACCCATCCATAGTATAACTTGTGTTCATATATATGTGGGTAATTTTTAATATGAAAATATTTCTGAGAAAAATAAATAGCTGGGCATGGTGGCACACGCCTGTTGTCCCAGAACAATTACAAGTCATTGTGTAGAAAGCAGTGCAAAATGAAGTTTGCTTGGATGTCATATGAAAAATCCAAAGGTTGAAAATTACCACTTTAAAATGGCCTGGCATATCCTAGGTAATAATGGCTCAGAGAGAGAGGAGATACATCTTTCGGGTGCTAAAATTAGGGCCTTTAAAGGGAAATAAAAACGAGGTAATGAAGACATTTTCCCCCAGGCTTGCCCATGGCCCTGTTGTAGTTTAATTTGTTAGAGATTCCTGCCCGACCTAGAGCTGTCCAGAAAGTTCAACAGAGAGACCAGAAGCAGCACTGAAGTCGAGCGAGGACTCGGCAGCTCCCTTAGTTGGTCGTGTGTGGTCATGATGTTCCAAAGCTGGGCCAAAGCTTTGTTCTTGTCTCTAGATTTGATGCAATTTCACAGAGTCGAATTGCTAACCAGCCTTCCAAGAGAAATTGTGTTTGCATGTTGTATTTATTTGCGACAAGTAACATTCCTCTCAGTGGAGCAGGATGTTCTCGTTGGGTGGTGACCCTTCTTTGTACTCAGGAGAGTTGCATAATAAACCAGTTTCATAACTGGAAGATTGCGTTTGGACCAGAGTGTGGAACTGGGGTAAGAGAAATGAACTGGGTGGCCTTCGTAGCTGGTGGTGTGGACGAAGCCTGGCCTGTCTGTACTGATGGGGTTGGAGTTCTTGACTCTGTTGTGTGTTGTGCTAGGTCGTCTTACTGCCTGCTGACCACTCTCCTTTTGTCAACAGGAATTGTAAACAAACAGTTGACTGGCTGGAATTTGGATGTTTTGAGTCTCCTCAGGCACCCACTTAGGGTTGCTGGTCAGGGTGCTTTCTCATAGTTTAGGGATAGCTTGCTGGTGAGCCTGGGTTCCCTAGGAATACGGTTATACCTAAAAAACAAACTGGATAGATTCAGCCAGACTTTGACCTTGTTAATTCATGACTCAACCTCGACAAAGGCCTCTCCCTTTTTTTTTGTGGCAAAATATACATAACATTTACCATGTTAATCATTTTTAAGTATACAGTTCTGTCATGAAGTATAGTCACATTGTTGTGCAACTGGCAGTCTTTCATTTGGGGACTTTTGTGGTTTGATGAGGTACAAGAAATAAAAGGAGGGCAGACAGGAATGCAAGTCAGTCTGTTGTGAGAAGAGACTGCATTGGGGTCCAGAAGCTGAGTGCTAGTTCTGGGTCCACCCTACAGTGTGGCAGTTATAACTCGACTTCTTTTTTCTGGAGTGTGACAGGAGAGTAACAGCAGTGCCACCTGTCTCATGGATGCTGTAAGAACCTCACGGAGCAGCATCTGTGGGTACACGTTGAACATCAGAGTGCAGCGTCTGGCTAAGGGATTATTTTCAGAACAGTTAATTGTTACATGATGGGGGAATAAGTTCTAACGGAAATTCTTTTTTGTCTTTGGCGTTATCAAGAAATCCAGACACAGCCTTATGGGTGGACACAGTTCCCCTTTCCAAAGGTGAAAAAGGGAACTTAATACAATGTTTTTTTAAAATAAGATTGTAACAATCTATTGTTTTGAAAGCCAGTGACATGTTCATTGAGGAAATTTGGCAAAGAAGGAAAATAAAATCATATAACAGAGATAACTATAGTGTTTTGGTGTGTCTCCTTTTAATTTTTCTCTCTGCATGAATACACATGCTTTTCTTAGGAAACTGGCATCTACATATTCATTTTATCATCTTTCACACAATATCATTGTCAATTATCCTTTGAAATCATGTTTGTGGTTCTCACTATTCCACCCATGTTGTACTTTCACTGTTCTCATGTTTTAATTTGTTGTAGGTAATGCTAGAGGGAACATTCTCAGACACATTTTGTATTTTTCTTAAAATGTATCCTTATGAGATATTTCTACTTACTGAGAAAAATGACATACATACTCCCTTAAGACTTAAGAAATATACCAAAATTTCCAGAAAGGTTCCATCAATTTTATGCTCCATAAGCAGTGTTTTTATTTCCATTTCATCATGACTCAGTTTAACTACTTTTGTAATGCTCATTGCCATTTGTATTTCTTTATTGTGGGTTTAGATCCTTGTCCATGCTTAAAAAAAGTCTTTTTATAAAAGAGAATCATTCCTTTCCAAACATGTGCCGCAAATATTTTCCACAGTTTGCCTTTTCATTTTTTGACACAGAGTCTCACTCTGTCACCCAGGCTGGAGTGTAGTGGCGTGATCTCGGCTCACTGCAGCCTCCGCCTCCCGAATTGCAAGCAATTCTCCTGCCTCAGTTTCCCGAGTAGCTGGGATTATAGTTGTGTGCCACCATGCCTGGCTAATTTTTGTATTTTTAGTAGAGATGGGTTTTCACCATATTGGTCAGGCTGGTCTCGAACTCCTGACCTCAAGTGATCTGCCTGCCTCAGCCTCCCAAAGTGCTGGGATTACATGTGTGAGCCACTGCACTGGCCAATACTATTTTTCTTTAAACTGTATTTTTAAGCTTAAAAAAAGTTCCTTTTCTGAAACTAGGCAGGTATTTCTTGCATTTTGTTCTCGTCTCTCTCGTTGTCTCTGTGTGTGTGTGTTTATATTTTTTACACTTTAGTAAATTGTGACTTTTCAGTGCATTATGAAATAATTAAAGTGGGTTGCAGCCACCACTTTTTAAAGAAGAAAATGTAATTAAAGTAGAACATACCAGTGCATTGCACATACTTAAAGTAATTTGTTTTAGGGGGTACGCAACTAAAATGTGTTGTTGTGCTGAAGCAGTTGAAGGCTGCCTCTCTGATCTATACGGAGTTCTTTGTGGTGTGTCTTGTGAGATGAGGCTCTCACTTGGGATTCCCACACACACAGCCCGTTTTCTGCACACTGTGGATTATTCTTTCCATCCTATACACTCGTGCTTGCTTTATTACGGTAGGATCCTAGTCTTTCAGCACTATCCATTCTATGCCATTGCTGTCTCTCGACAGTACATTATTTTTAACTTCGGGGGCTTTTAGAATTCATTTTTATTGTTGTTGTCTTTATACCTCTTTGAAATATTTTCCTAAATATCTTTTGCCTTTTCATTCTCCCACTTTGCTAAGTAAAGATTATTTGGTTGTAAGAAACAAAAATTGGGGCAGTTGAAGCAAAACAAGTGTAATTACAATTTCAAAGAATTGTCAGGGTACACAGAGACAGCTTGTCTGCAGGGAGGGATTACAGGAGACAGAATCATTAGGGCTTTTGTGTAGTCCCTTTTTTTTTGAGTCTTGCACTGTTGCCCAGGCTGGAGTGCAATGGCACGATCTCGGCTCACTGCAACCTCCACCTCCCAGGTTCAAGCGATTCTCCTGCCTCAGCCTCCCGAGTAGCTGGGATTACAGGCGCCCGCTACCACACCGGGCTAATTTTTTGTATTTTTAGTAGAGACGGGGTTTCACTATGTTGGCTAGGCTGGTCTCGAACTCTTGACCTTGTGATCCACCCGCCTCTGCCTCCCAAAGTGCTGTGTGGTCTCTTAACTGCTGCCTTGGAGTTCGTGCTGTTGTTTGGCTGCCTGACTGTTCCTGAGGTTATGATGTTATCATCCAGCCACTTGCTGATTCTTAGGAGAGCTGGGCATTCTCTGCTCCCTTAGATCCAGCCCTCTCCCCACACCTTTCTCCATCTGCTCCATGCCTTTGGAGGCTGAGTACCACCGATGGCATCAGCTCAACTCCCTTGCTGGAGATTGGAGTGTGGGAGGCCACACGGTCAGAGTCTACATTCCCCTGCTGAACTCTGCAGGGCTATGGTTTGGTGGGGTCCTCCCTGGTCATCTGGTTGTGCCCTTCACTCTGGCTGGAAGTCTAGTGACAATTTCCTCCTGTTGGTCGCTTTCCGCCTGTCCCAGAATGCCTCACTCTTCCTCGTAGGCTCCCTTAACTCCACTCACACCGTTTTAAGTACTGTAGTCCCTTTATAAAAAATCTCTTAGCCCTGCTTAACAGTGTTTGTTTCTTGCTGGGAACCTGAGCCAGTCCGTACTCCCACTTCCTGGGAGGAACATCTGATTGGCTGCATTTTGGTTCAGGTGTTCATCCTAGCCCAATCACCCCTGCCTGGGCTGGGGTCACACTGCCAGGAGCCTTGTGAAGAGGGCAGTTTTCATGCTAGAAGTCTGGTTCATTGGGAACTGAGCTGGACAGATAGCTGTTAACATTTAAAAAACACACATTTTTATTTTTTAATGTTGTAAAATATAAAATCTACCATTTTAACCATTTAAAAAAAGTACGCAGTTCAGTGGCAGTGAGCACATTCACGCTGTGTATCACCACCATCCATCTCCAGAACTTTCTCATCCTCCCACACTGAAACTCTGTATCCATTAAACAGTAAACTCTCCCTCCAGCCCCCGGTAACCACCATTCTTCTTTCCTGCTCTATGACTGACTATTCTAGGAAGCTCATTAAAAAATGCATATTAATTAGACAAGTATTATAGAAATACATTCTTGTAAAAAAGATGGAAACATGACACCTAAGGCTAGACTAACTGCCCGTCACCTGGCTTAGTGATTACGTGCAGAGGCTACCATTGTTACTTTAGAGTTTTGGACTCCAAATCATTTCTGTGAATCTGTGATTTCTGTGAATCTACATACAGATGTGCTCTCAGAAAATAAGTGATTTCTTTTCCCCCACATAAATGGTATACTGTATGCAGCATTCTGCAACTTGAGCTTGCTTTTTTTTTTAAACCCAATATATTTTGGAGGACTTTCCAAATTAATAACATAGGACTACGTTCATTTTAACTGCAGCAGGATCAGAGGGAGGGCTGGTTAAAACACAGGCTGCTTTGCCCTACCCTGGAGTTTCTCATTCAGCCAGATGGGGGCCAAAGAATGCGTCCCACGTGATGCTGCTGCTGCTGCTGTGTTACGGCTGCGCTTCGGAGAACCACTGCTGCCATTCCCTGATCGATAGATGCTTGGGGTGCTTCCTGTTTCTCAGTAAAGTGAAGTTGCGGCGACCTCGTGCCTGCCTTATGTGCACCTGTGCCAGCATCTTTCTCAGGTGGGTAAGGAGAGGTGGAATTCTGGTCACAGGCTACATGTACCTTAAATTTCAATAGATTCCGTCAAATTGCCTCTCAGTATGGCTGTAACAATTTATAGATGAGCTTCCACACAATATTTTACCCAAGTTAAAAATAAATCCTGGCCGGGTATGGTGGCTCATGCCTGTAATCCCAACACTTTGGGAGGCCGAGGCGGGCGGATCACCTGAGGTCAGGAGTTCGAGACTAGCCTAGCCAACATGGCGAACCCCTGTCTCTACTAAAAGTACAAAAATTGGCCGGGAATGGTGGAGGGCATCTGTAATCCCAGGAGAATTGCTTGAATCCGGGAGGCGGAGGTTGCAGTGAGCCGAGATCGCGCCACTACACTCCAGCCTGGGCCACAAGAGGGAGACTTTGTCTCAAAAAACAAAAAACAAAAAACGAAAAACAAATCCTATGGGAATTTTGATTGGGCTTGTGATAAGCCAATAGGTTAATTTACAATTGATTTCTTTTTGTTTGTTTGTTTGAGATGGAGTTTTGCTCTTGTTGCCCAGTATGGAGTGTAGTGGCGTGATTTCGGCTCACTGCAACTTTCTTCTCCCGGATTCAAGCAATTCTCCTGTAGCCGGGATTACAGGCGCCCGCCACCACGCCTGGCTCATTTTTGTATTTTTAGTAGAGACGGGGTTTCGCCATGTTGGCCAGGCTAGTCTCCAACTCCTGACCTCAGGTGATCCGCCTGCCTCGACCTCCCAAAGTGCTGGAATTACAGGCATAAGCCACTGCGCCTGGCCAAGAATTGATTTCATTACGGAATATTATAACATTAAAATGTACCTTTCTCACATGATAGTAATACAATGATGATGATTTTTTAAAATTGGGAAATTGTGGCTCTTCTCCCTCTGGCTGGAGTCATGACGCTGGAAGAAATGATCTCATTGCTCCTTTAGGAGTGTGTATATCTGAACATTCCAGTTTGGGCAACATTGATAAGGTTTGTTCACATGATACTTACCACACTCTTACCTCATGAATGAATGATTTTGTGTGTTTATTTCGAACTTCAGTTTCATAGGATAGGGAAGGAGTAGGGGGTCTACAAGGGTGGGGAGGGTATCTTCAATAGGAGAGGTGTTTTTTTGTTTTTGTTTTTTTGCCACTCTCTCACAGCTGGGTGTTCAGGGCCCTGCATTTGACACAGTGTTGAATGTCCCTAGGAGGGGGACTATGGCATAGGGATGAGTAGGGAGACACAGTTGAGCAACTAATTAGGATGTGAGGTAGAATGAGTCATTAACTTTCACCAGTGAAGCCATTACAGTCATGACAAAAAAGAAATTGATCTATTAAGAGCCAGGGATTTAAATGATTTTAGGATTTGAGGGAGGGCCTTCTAGGAAGCAAGAGTGATGAAAGTGAAAGACAAATAGGTCCGTTCTAGAAATTTGCAACTTGAGCATTTTAGAACTGAGGTCCTTGATTGGTTGGAAATCAGGTGTAAGAGATTATCTAGTGGTAAGCAACCAAAATGAGTTTGAATGAGTGGAGAGCGTATGGCAAATTCTTTTCAGGTGTCTCCAAATGATCCTTTCTCCCTCACTAGACCTTGTTTTTTTTTTTTTTCCTTTTCTTTTGGGACAGGGTCTTGCCCTGTTTTTCAGGCTGGAGTGCAGTGGCATGATCATGGCTCACTGCAGCCTCGGACTCCCAGGCTCAAGTGATCCTCCTGCTTCAGCCTCCCGAGTAGCTGGGACTATGGGCATGCACCACCATGCCTGGCTAGTTTTTAAATTTTTTGTAGAGTTGGGGTCTTGCTAAGTTGCCCAGATTTTGAACTCCTGGGCTTAAGCAATCCTCCCTCCTTGGCCTCCCCAAATGCTGGGATTACAGGCGTGAGCCACTACAGCGGGCTGACATTCCATTTTTGGATTTTGGAGTGCACACGTGTGTATTGGCTTTTTGCTGTTCCTTGGATTTGGTGAATTCAGGGGAAGCACGACCAGGTTGCTACAATTGTATTTTTTCTCATCTTCACCAGGCTTGTCGGGATTGTCCAGGTTACTTTCTCTGGTTAGAAGTATAATACAAACGTCAATATAAAAAGCATCCACTAGGTGCCAGTCTTGCTTTGTGCAAATTTCTTTTTATCCCAGCCTTCTGGGAGAGCAGTTGGTTCTGGCCGCCTCCTGTCTAAACTCCCGTGGAGGGTGGGGATGTGAGCTTTCTGCGCGCCAGCCCTCTGGGATTGGCTGAGAGAATCTCCAAAGTGCTTGCAGCTCTTTTCTGGTGTCCAAGTCCTGAAGCGGAACCTGAATGACTGTAGCCCAGCAGCAGGCGTGATGAGAGGGGCCTGGAGGGAATCCTGATGGGAGGAGATCGAGTCTCCAGGTGGTGGCTGCACCTCCAGTTTCCCTGGCCTGGCTGTACCCTCCCTGGACCTGACCAAACTCCCCACCGGGCTACAGATGCTAACCCGAAAAAGTGCCCAGCTGTCAAGAGAAGCTGCAGCAGCTCTTTAGTCTGACACAGTTGCTGAGCATAGGAAGCTTGAATTGATGTTTCCCCCTCATGTCCTTAAATAGTGAAGTAATAGCCAAAATAAGAAAGAAATTAACCACATCATACACCAACTGCATCAATTTCCCCATAGACTTTGTCCATGAAATCCAGGAGTTTACATATGTCAATGATAGTGGGGAAGAGGGAGAAGAATATGGTTTTTCACTTCTTTTCCCAACTTAGGAAAATTTCAAATATACAGAAAAGTTAAAAGAATAGTATAGGCCGGGTGCGGTGGCTCATGCCTGTAATCCCAGCACTTTGGAAGGCCGAGGGGGGCGGATCACAAGGTCAGGAAATCATGACCATCCTGGCTAACATGCTGAAACCCCATCTCTACTAAAAATACAAAAAATTAGCCGGGCGTAGTGGCGGGCGCCTGTAGTCCCAGCTACTCAGGAGGCTGAGGCAGTGAACCTGGGAGGCGGAGCTTGCAGTGAGCTGAGATCGTGCCACTGCACTCCAGCCTGGGCGACAGAGTGAGACTCTGGCTCAAAAAAAAGAAAAAAAAGAATAGTATGATGATCTGTATATACACGCCACTTAAAGTAAAACACTGTTGATATAGTCATATGACCCTTAACAACGGGGATATGTTCTGAAAGATGTTGTTAGGTGAAATTGTGTCATTGTGAGAATCAAAGAGTGCACTGACATAAACCTGGGCGGCACAGCCCGCTACACATGTGGGCTATCTTATGTAGCCTACATTGTTTCTAGGCTACAAACCTGGACAGCATGTTCCTGGACTGAGTACTGTAGGCAGTTGGAACACAGAGAGATGTGTGTATCTAAACATAGAAAAAGCCAAGTAATACGCTATTGTATTATAATCTTATGGGACCACCGTTGTATATGTGGTCCAACATTGACCAAAATGTCATTATGCAGTCCATGACTATATTTGGCTATATTTTTCTTCATCTGTATTTGTGTGCATATATTTATTTTTGCTGATCTACTAGAAAGTAAACTGAAGGCATCATCACACTTTATTCTTAACTACTTCAGGGTGACGTGCCTACAGATTATGACTCCTGCAATAACTACAATACCATTCTTATATCTCTGAAGCTCCAAACCGTAATCCCCTAATACCATCCTCCTGTCTAATTATTTAATATTATTTAATTTTTAATTTTTTTTGAGGCAGAATCTTGCTCACTCTGTCACCCAGGCTGGAGTGTAGCAGCAGCACGTTAATATTCAGTTTCTTTTCAAATCAGGATCCAATCCACACTCACTCACTGGGTTTGTTTGTCAAGTCTTCTTTAGTTACTTTTGCTCTAAAACGGTCTCTTACCCTCTTGCCCCCTTAGTTTTATCTGTAACAATCACACACCGAGGAGACCAGGCCAGTTGTCTTGCAGAATGAGCCACATGCTGGATTAGATCATTTCCCTAAGTGAGTTTAACTCATTCCTGTACCCTCTGTATTTTCTATCATCTGGAAGTTGTACCTCGGAACTACCCAGTACAACTTTCTGTGATGACAGAAATGTTCTCTGTGCTGTCCAAAATGGAAGTCATTCACCGCAGGTGGCCAGTGAGCACCTAACATGTATCCATGTGGCTGAGTGACAGAATTGTTAATTTTATGTCATTCTCACTAATTTACGTTTAAATAGCCACATGTAGCTAGTGGCTATGGTCTGAAACAGCACAGGTCTTAAGCTTGATTCGATTTGACAAGACATCAAAGGTGATGCTGTATACTTCATACCGGAACACACCAAGAGGCAAGATAATGACAAAGTCTTTCTTTTTCTTTTTTTTGGTTTGAGTATGATGTTTAGTATAAGATAGAGTGGCTTGGCAGAGTTGGTGCAAAACTGAAGAGAACCAGATTCAGTTCTAGTCAGTGAGTTAGCAGCCTAGGGTCAAAAAAATTGACCCTGCTGTCCTGAGTCCTCTGAGGCCCTCTGCACATCACCAGCTAGAAGCTCCGAGACTGATATGCCACTGCTTGGAGGCTTGGGTAGAATCCAAGTGTCCTCAGTTTCCAGAGTGACAAGAGACTGGCCCCAGCCATCAGAGCAGTAGACAAAGGCTTTTGTTTAAAAAAAGCTTTGAGGTATAATTTATTATTTAATTTTTAATTTTTTTGGAGGCAGAATCTTTCTCACTCTGCCACCCAGGCTGGAGTGTAGTAACGCAAACTCGGCTCACAGCAACCTCCGCCTCCTAGATTCAAGCGATTCTCCCACCTCAGCCTCCCAAGTACCTGGGATTATAGGCGCCCGCCACCATGCCCGGCTAATTTTTGTATTTTAGTAGAGATGGGGTTTTACCATGTTGGCCAGGCTGGTCTCGAACTCCTGATCTCAAGTGATCTGCCCGCCTTGGCCTCCCAAAGTGCTGGGATTACAGGCATGAGCCACTGCACCCGGCATGAGGTGTAATTTATAATCAATAACAATATTTTAAGTGTAAAGGTCAATGAGTTTCAACAAATGTCTACACCTGTATAGTCACAACACAATCCAGATACAGAAGATTTCTGTTATCCCAAAGATTCCCTTGTGCAGCTTCCCAATTAATCCCAAATGTCCCTCTTTTCCACAAGTCTGAGGAAACCAGTGATATACTTTCTATCATTATGGAATAAGTGTCTTTGCTTCAGCTTCATATAAATAACATCATACAAAGATACTCTTTGTTTTTTCTCCAACTACAATTACTTTAAGTCTCTGAAACAATATTTCCTTACAACTTAAGTAGTTTTTACAGTAGTGACATTTATCATTGATGGGATTTGCTTGTTTAATATGACTATAGTCAGAAGGGAAGTTGGGCCTATTATTCTTCCAGAAATTAAAAAAAATCATCATTAAGGAAGAGAAAGATTTATATCATCTTTTTGGGACACGTAAGTCTCACAGTTGGAGAATTTGCGGATATTGCTATATACACTATATATACATACATAGTTTTTTTTTTTTTTTGAGACAGAGTCTCGCTCTGTCACCCAGGCTGGAGTGCACTGTCATGATCTCGGCTCACTGTAACCTCCATCTCCCGGGTTCAAGCAATTCTCCTGCCTCAGCCTCCCAAGTAGCTCAGATTACAGGCATGTGCCACCATGCCCAGCTAATTTTTGTATGTTTGGTAGAGACGGAGTTTCAGCATGTTGGCGAGGCTGGTCTCAAACTCCTGACCTCATAATGCACCCACCTTGGGCTCCCAAAGTTCTGGGATTATAGGCGTGAACCACCGTGCCCAGCCTACATATTTACTCGTGATTCTGGTTTTCCAATGACGGATCCTCCATGTTTTTGAGATTGATTGATGTTGCATGTGTCTGTAGTTTGTCCTTATTGCCAAGTGGTATGTGTTGGTATGGATATGCCACAAGTTGTTTATCCCTTCTGCTGGTGGAGATCTGCATTGTTTCCAGTTTAGCATTAAAAGGTAGACTTTCCCTCTATACACTGCTTTAGTTGCACCCCATAAATTTTGATTCCCTCTCCCTCTGCCTCTCTGTCTCCCTTTCCCTTCCCTTCCCTCCCCTCCCCTTCCCTCCCCTCCCCTTCCCTCCCTTTTCCTCCCCTTCCCTCCCCTTCCCTCCTTCCCTCCTTTCCTCCCTCCCATCCTCCCTCCCTTCCTTTTCTCTGTCTCCAGGGTCTCACTCCATTGCCCAGACAGCTCTCTGAAGCCCGGATCTCCTGGGCTCAAGTGATCCTCCCACCTTAGCCTCCTGAGTAGCTGAGACTACAGGTGTAAGCCACCACACCTGGCTAATTTTTAAATTTTGTTTTTTGTAGAGTTGGGGTCTCCCTATGTTGCCCAGGCTAGTCTTGAACTCCTGGGCTCACGTGATCTTCCCACCTCAGCCTCTGAAAATGCTGAGTTACAGGCATGAGCCCCTAGCCTGTGGTGTTTTCATTTTAAGAATTCAGTTCTTAGTATTATTTAATTTTTCCTCCTCTTGTTTTTCTCCTTTGACTCCTGGATTATTTAAAAGTGTGATTTTAAGTTTCCAAATATATGAGGATTTTCCAAAGATCTTTTTGATATTTCTGATTAATTTTGTTCTAAGAGAACATATTTTATAGGATTTAATCCTTTATATTTATTGAGATTTGTTTTATGACTCAGTGTATGATCTATCTTGGCAAATGTTTTTGTTTTTCTTCCGTTTTAGAGATGAGGTCTTGCTCTGTCAACCCAGGCTAGACTGCAGTGGTGCCGTCAGAGTTCACTGCAGCCTCCAACTTCTAGTCTCAAATGATCCTCCTGCCTCAGCTTCCCAAGTAGCTAGGACTACAGGCATATGCCACCACACCTGGCTAACTTTTAATGTTTTTTTGTAGAGATGAGGTCTTGCTTATTTGCCCAGGCTGGTCTTGAACTACTGGCTTCAAGTGATCCTCCTGTCCTCCCGCCTTGGCTTCCCAACATGCTGGGATGACAGCCAAGGCATGCAGTGCACCTAGCTGGTGAAGGTTTCTTATGTACTTGAAAAGAATGTGTACCTGGCCGAATGCGGTGGCTCATGCCTGTAATCCCAGCAGTTTGGGAGGCCGAGGTGAGCGGATCACCTGAGGTCAAGAGTTCAAGACCAGCCTGGCCAACATGGTGAAAACTTGTCTCTACTAAAAATACAAAAATTAGCTGGGCATGGTAGTGTGCGCCTGTAGTCCAAGCTGCTTGGAGGTTGAGAAAGGAGAATTGCTTGAACCCAGGAGGTGGAGGTTGCAGTAAGCCAAGATCGCGCCATTGCACTCCAGCCTGGGTGACAGAGCAAAAACTCCATCTAAAAAGAGAAGAATGTGTATCTGCTATTGTTGGGTGCAATGGTCTGTAAATATCAATGGAATCAAATTGCTTGATAGTGTCATGCAGGTTTTCTACTTTTTGTATCTACTTCTCCCATTAATTACTGAAATAGGCCTATTAAAGTATTCAAATCTCAATATACATTTGTCTGTTTTTCCTTCAATTCTGCCAGTTCTTGCTGCATGTATGTTATGCTTTGTTATGGTATATTCACATTTAAGACTGTTACATCTTCTTGATGAATTGACCCTTTTGACATTATGAAATGTCCATCTTTATACCAGGGAACGCTTCTTGTTCTAATGTCTACTTTGTCTAATGTAGCCACTCTGGTTTTTCAAGTGGCTTCTTATTTGTATGATGTATCTCTTTTTTTTCCTCTTTATCTGTGTTTTTAATTTCAAAGTGTTTTTCTTGTAAATAGCACCTAATTGGGTCTTGTTTTTTTTTTTTTTTAATTTTAATTTTTAGTTCTGGGTTACATCTGGAGGATGTGCAGGTTTGTTACATAGGTAAACGTGTGCCACGGTGGTTTGCTGCCCAGATCAACCCATCACCTAGATATTAAGCCCAGAATGCATTAGCTATTTTTCCTAAAGCTCTCCCTCCCCCCACCCAACCCCCCAGCAGGCCCCTTCCATGTGTTGTTCCCTTCCCTGTGTCCATGTGTTCTCATTGTTCACCTCCCACTTATAAGTGAGAACATGTGGTGGTTGGTTTTCTGTTCCTGCATTGGTTTGCTGAGGATAATGGCTTCTGGCTTCATCCATTTCCCTGCAAAGAACATTATCTCATTCCTTTTTATGGCTGCATAGTATTCCATGGTGTATGTGTACCACCTTTTCTTTATCCAGTCTATCACGGATGGGCATTTGGGTTGATTCCATGTCTTTGCTATTGTGAATAGTGCTGCAATGAACATATGCGTGTATGTATCTTTATAATAGAATGATTTATATTCCTTTGGGTATATACCCAGTAATGGGATTGCTGGGTCCAATGGTATTTCCGGTTCTAGATCTTTGAGGAATCCCCACACCCTCTTCCACAATGGTTGAACTAATTTACATTCCCACCGACAGTGTAAAAGCTTTCCTATTTCTCCACAACCTCACCAGCGTCTGTTGTTTCTTGACTTTTTAATATTTGCTGTTCTGACTGGTGGGGTTTTGTTTTTTTATCCAATTGAACTCTTCCTGTTAATTGGAATGTTTAGAGTATTTTCATGTAGTTTAGTTACCAGTTTGATTGGGATTAAGTGTGCCACTCTGCTATTTCTTTTCTATTCGTCTCATCTGTTTTTATTGCCCTTTTCCCCCTTCTTCTCATGACTTTTGGATTGAATAATTTTAAAATTTCACTGCATCTTCACTATTGGCTTGTTGTTAGCCCTGCTCCTTTGTATTGTTGTTTTAGTGATGGCTCTGGGGTTTATCATGTGCGTCGCCATGTGCATGGCCTTTCCCGTTCCCTAGTGAGGGCCCCAAGTTATCAACAGGGATCCGTCTTTCTGAATAGTTGGGACTCAGATGCCGTGTAAGCCCTGGGAACCCTTTAGCTCACTGCTTCTCAGCAGCTCTTTGCCTGGCTTCCTGGAATTGTACCCTCTTGTGCACATCTTAGTGTGGAGTAAAGACTCAAGAGGACTCCCATGCAGACTTTTGGTGTTTTTTAAGCAAAGGCTTTCTGCCTACCTCCCTCTTCTCTAAGAGCTCTGCCGTATGACTTCCACTGCCTCAACTGTTCTGGATTCCAATATCTGTCTCCTCAGTACCACTAGATTGGGATGCCCCTTCCCTGCTTCATGGTCTAGAATGCCTGATTCCTGGAGGCCTTGCTTCCTCTGTTACCCTTCTCTTAGGAATTGCAGGGCTGCCTGTAGTCCAGTGTCTGAAAATAATTGTTTCACACTTTGTCCAGTTTTCTCATTGTTTCTTCTGAGAGGGTATTTGGTCCATGTTATTCCATCATGTCAGAAACAGAGGGCTCACTTAGCTTATTTTTTTTTTTTTGAGACAGAGTCTCCCTCTGCCTCCCAGGCTGGAGTGCAGTGGCACGATTTTTGGCTCAATGCAACCTTTGCCTCCCAAGTAGCTGGGATTACAGGTGTGCGCCACCACGCCTGGCTAGTTTTTGTATTTTTATTAGAGACAGGGTTTCACCATGTTGGCCAGGCTGGTCTCAAACTCCTGACCTCAGGTGATCCGCCTGCCTTGGTGTCCCAAGGTGCCAGGATTACAGGCGTGAGCTTATTTAATTTTTTTCCTTTTTATTTATTTATTTATTTTTGAGATGGAGTCTCGCTCTGTCACCAGGCTGGAGTTCAGTGGTGTGATCTCAGCTCACTGCAATCTCCACCTCCGGCGTTCAAGCGATTCTCCTGCCTCAGCCTCCTGAGTAGCTGGGACTACAGGCGCACACCACCATGGCCAGCTAATTTTTGTATTTTTAGTAGAGATGGGGTTTCACCATGTTGGCCAGGATGGTCTTGATCTCCTGACTTCATGATCTGCCCACCTCAGCCTCCCAAAGTGCTGGGATTACAGGTGTGAGCCACCGTGCCTGGCCAAATTATTGTAATAATTTAAGAATGTATATAAATAATCCATGTTTACAGTAGAAAATCTTGAAATAACAATTGCAGCAAGAATTACCCACAATTCCCTGCATCCCAATGTAGGCAAAATTAATGTTTTAGCATATATCCTTCCAGACCTTTTTAATGTGTATATGTATCTATAAATATAAAAATAAGACCATATCATCTGCACCACATGATGGTTTATAATGGCTGCCTACTCCCCAAGAGCACAGGAGAAATGGCACCCATTTTTCATGTGTATTATGACAGCTCATGAGTTTCATAGGAAAGCCTACTGCATTTCAGAGATGTTTGTAAGACTCTGGACTTGAGAAATTTCATATGTAAAAGAAAGCCATATAGGTTTTATTTTTTAAAGTCTGCAAGTCTGCAAATGTAAAAAGTTTCAAGAGGAAGAATTTTATTTCATTAGAAAAAAGGAAAGCGGCAGCTTTTACATTACATTTTTAGGCTCCCAAGGTGCTCAACATCAAATGCATTGTACAAGTGAATGGGCATAAATAGATAACATTTCCAAAATAGATGATCAGATTTCAAGAAATTTGCCAAAGTCTAGACTTTATTAATTTGGATCTTGTAAAAATTAAAAAAACCCTGCACTTTGGGAGGCCAAAACAGGAGGATTTCTTGAGCCCAGGAGTTTGAGACCAACCTGGGCAACATAGTGAGACCTTGTCTCTACAAATAATAAAAAAAATAGCCATGCATGGTGGAGTGCACCTGTGGTCCCAGCTACTCAGGAAGATGAGGTGGGAGGATCCCTTGAGCCCAGGCACTTGAGGCTGTAGTGAGCTGTGATCGCACCACTGCACTCCTGCCTGGGTGACAGAGAGAGATCCTGTCTCAAAAAACAAAACAACAAGAACAAAACAAAATCAAACAGGCCACTCTGCTTAAAAAATGTAGAAATTAAAGCTCTGGAACTCTTATCATGAAATGTCCTCCACTGGCCCTAGCTGAGGTGGCCATGGGCTGACCTAGCGTGACTTTTCCTATAAAGAAATTAAGTATTGAAAAAGCACTGATTAGAGGGGTGAGGATCCAGTTTCCAGCGCTTACTCCGTGACCTTTGGCAAACTGCTTACCTTCCACGAGTGTCAATTTCCTCATCTACAAAGCAAAGATAAGAGCAATTCAAAGGGTGAGCATGAAGATGAAATAAGATGGTCTTTTTTTTTTTTTTTTTTTTTTTTTAGATGGAGTCTTGCTCTGTCGCTCTATTGCCCAGGCTGGAGTGCAGTGGCTCAATGTCGGCTCACTGACACTGCAACCTCCCCCTCCTGGGTTCAAGCGATTCTCCTGTCTCAGCCTCCCGGGTAGCTGGGATTAAAGGCATATGCCACCACACCTGGCTAATTTTTGTGTTTTTAGTAGAGACAGGGTTTTGTCATGTTGGCCAGGCTGGTCTTGAACTCCTGACGTCAGGTGATCCGCCCGCCTTGGCCTCCAAAAGTGTTGGGATTATAAGCCTGAGCCACCACGCTGGGCCAATAAGATGGTCTTTAATGTGTCTGGGGACAAGGACCCTCAGGTGTTCAGTAAAAAAATCTCAGCAATGTTACAAAACTAGCTTAAATAGAGTCAATAGAGCGATAGGTATAAAATCACACCTTCCATTTATTCCCATTATCTTTATTTCTTTTCCAGCTAGGTCTTCTCTTTTTAATGGTTAAATTATTATTGTTTTTATAACACAGCAAATTCTACATTTGGCCACCTTGGTTTCTAGATTCATGGGTATGTTCTGCTCTCATATTCTCTCTCTCCCCTCTTCCCTCCTCGCTCCCTCTCTCCCTGCCCTTCTCCACTCCCCGCAGCGGAGGTTGTCCATTTCCTCAGTGTGTCTGTTGGTTGCAATGAGGCCATCTTGGTCCTTTACACCTTTGTCCTTTTCCTCGCACCCATATGCACCCTAGGAAAAGTGTGCATGACTTTGGGAGGCCAAGGTGGGTGGATTGCATGAGTCCAGGAGATCGAGACCAGCCTGGGCAACATGGCAAAACTCCGTCTCTATTGAAAATACAAAAAATACAAAAAATATTAGCTGAGCATGGTGGCATGTGCCTGTAGTCCCAGCTACTTAGGAGGCTGAGGTAGGAGGATCACTGAGCCCAGCAGGTGGAGATTACAGTGATTGGAGATTGCATCACTGCACTCCAGCCAGGGTGACAGAGTGAGACTCTGTCAAAAAAAAAAAAAAAAAAAAAAAAACAAGGAAAAAGAAAAAAGCGCATGCCGAACGTGCTTCTGAGTGAAGTACTCCCCTGTATTACCCTTAAAGGGTCCTTAAAGAGCCATTGCCTCTGCTGTGATCGCTGTCAGTATTTCAGAAGCTGGCTCTCTCTGCATCTAGGATGAATGAGGCCATTGGTGCAGGCAGTCTGAGTGCCAGGAAGATCAGCATGAGAGGAAGACAGGATATTTCTCTTTGGTCTCACCAGAAGAATATGCCATCCATTATTCACAGAGAGAAGGACAAAGGTCCACATGTATTTTAGGATGGAGCACCGTGATAGGCCGTGCAGAGAGGTTTCGGGAGGATTCTAGCTGGGCGTCAGGAGATTTGCAAGGTTTGCAGTGCAGGCCATCTCTGGGGGATTGAAATTTGCCATGGAGGTTTTCAGTTCTGGTTTTAGCCACATTGAAATGTGAGATTATTAGGGTCTGAGAGGTCAAGGGCTTTGCCCAAGGCCACACAGCATTTGTAGCTGCCTGGCAGAATGTGGGGCAGCAGTCGTGAGTGCTACAGTGGAGTCAGAGGCAGGGGGCTTTGGTCCCGGGTGGGCAGCTTTCCCAAATGCAGAAGTTGGAAGCTACACTGGCAGAACAAATGAGGATTCCAGAAGACAGGAGGCCCAATGGGACTTGGGTCACTCACACCAATGGGTCATTAACTTTTGTACCTATGACATCTTGGAGTACAAGAAGAAAAACAAAAACGCCCAAACAAAAAGTTTGGCACCAGACAGACCTCTGTTGGAATCTAGACTCCAGCTTCCTGACTACAAGGCCTCTGACAAGGTCTTTGACCTTGGAATGAGAGAGAAGTTTCAGAAAGCCACCTTGGAATGAGAGATAACTCTTATAAGTAACAATGTAACTGCTCTGACACACAATAGATGCCTAATGAATGTTAATTTTCTTTCTTTTTATCTTCCCTTCCCTAAATTTCGGTTGTCTTCCTTTTTTTTTTTTTTTTTGAGACGGAGTTTCGCTCTTATTGCCCAGGCTGGGGTGCAATGGCACAATCTCAGCTCACCACAACCTCTGCATCCCGGGTTCAAGCAATGCTCCCGCCTGAGCCTCCCAAGTAGCTGAGATTACAGGTGCACACCACCACGCCCGGCTAATTTTTGTATTTTTAGTAGAGATGGGGTTTCACCATGTTGGTCAGGCTGGTCTCGAACTCTTGACCTCGTGATCCGCCCGCCTTGGCCTCCCAAAGTGCTAGGATTACAGGCATGAGCCACCGTGCCCGACATCGGTTGTCTTGTATACAATTCTTACAAAAGTCCTAGGACATAGGCAGGAACAATATTTTTCCCCTATTTTTGAGATGAGAAAATGGGTTTCAGAGAAGTTTAATGATTTGCATGAGGCCCCAGGGACAGAGCTGGGTCTGCATCCCAGAAGTCTTGAGAATAGAGTAGAGCTGCTACAGAATTAGATAAGCTGGGTTTTAATCCTTTTGTGACCACTGCTAGTTGAGTGACCTCTCTGAGCCTCAGTTTCCTCATCTATAAAGTGGGGATAATAAGAGTACCTATCCAAAGGATTGTTTTGAAGATAAATGATCTAATATATAAAGCGCTTAGACTGGCAAATAATAAGTGGTAGCTCTGATTGTTAAATGAGCCATTAGGATCCTGGCCTGCTCTCTGGGGCTTGTCTTTGAACATTTTCTTTGGGTATTCTAGGGAATGTCTTTCAGAGTTCTGGGTGTCCTGCCTATTAATGTGGGGAAATCACTATCCACCTATATCAAGTTGCTTCTCCCTGGCGGTGAGGGCCATGGGGCTGTGTGTGCACCCTGTTAAAAGCCCAGGGTGGACTCCCAGGAGCAACGCACCCACCTGCGCCCACTCTATTGGCTGACCTGAGCTTGCTGTCAAACTCTGTCCCCATGCATGTCTCTGTCTGACTGTGGCTCCGAGGGAGTGCACTCTTTCTATTCATTTGGCTACTGACAGATACCAAAAATTGATTTATATCCATGGTAACTGTCACCCAGGGGAACTGTGAAAAACAAGAAATCTTTTCTTCCATTCACATCAAACAGAGCCAGTGCCCAGAGACCTCTGGGCCTGGCTTTCACTCCGGCTGGCCCTGGCTCATCTCCTTGAGGAGGAAGTGTGTGTCCTCTCCTGCACGCCTCTCCTTCCTGGGGAGCCCTGGCTCACAGCTGGAGCCAGCAGGCCTGGAGGCTGCAGACCCTGGACTGGGACTTGTTGCTTTTGAGAGCTCCCCTGAAGCCTGGCTCCTCAGGTATGGAGTGGGAATCTCTGGAAAGTATTTGTCAATCACATTCCAGAGGGGGGTTGAAACTGCTCACAAACGCTTGTGTTTGGTGGGAGTTTAGTTTCTTTTCTTTTTTTTTTATGAGTCAGGGTCTTGCTCTGTTGCCCAGGCTAGAGTGCAGTGGTATGATCACAGCTCACTGCAGCCTCAACCTCCCAGGCTCAAGCGATCCTCCCACCTCAGCTTTCGGAGTAGCTGGGTCTACAGGTGTGCGCCATCATGCCTGACTAATTTTTAGATTTTTTGTAGAGATGGGGTCTCCCCGTGTTGCCCAGGCTGTTCTCGAACTCCCCAGCTCAAGCAATCCTCCTGCCTCGGCCTCCCAAAGTGCTGGGATTATAGGCGTGGGTCACCACGACCAGCCGGTAATGTATAGTCTCTAGAGAAAGGATTGGTGGGGGTGTGGGAGGGATCCTCAATCAGGTTTTTTGAGGTGGGAAGCCACGTTCTCTTGCTTCTGACTCCTGAGGCTGGTTTTGTTTCTTCTCTGAGATATTTTTTCCTGAGTGGTTTTTCTTCCTTTTTCGTTCTGATGGCTTTTCTGAAGGGCAGTCATGAGGATGTGCCTGTACCAGCTGGGGAGAGAGATCTACACCTTACCTGGCTTGGACAACTTTCTTGAGGTCTGATTTTTCTTGATGGTTCTAAGGAGTAAAATATTATTTGAATCGAATGATAAATTTGTTATTTGACTGTGCTCAAGTTCTGGGCTAGTTGCTTTGGAAACTTTGAAACAGATTATAGCAGAGTTTTGCAATGTCTGTTCTTGAAAACTCTGATCTTAAGAGATATTTTATGAACCAACAGGTCTATATGGTCATATAGATTTGGAAATTGCTTCATACTCTATCCCTTATTGGAACGTCGTAATACACAGTGTATATTAAAGGCCCTGAGACATGGGATAGGTAAGAAATGAGTTCAGTATTATTTATTTATTTATTCACATTTTATTTTTTGAGACAGGGTCTCACTCTGTCGCCCAAGCTGGAGTGCAGTGGTGTGATCTCAGCTCACTGCAACCTCTGCCTCCTGGGCTCAAGCGATTCTCCTGCCTCAGCCTCCTGAGTAACTGGGATTATAGGCACGTGCCAGCACGCGTGGCTAATTTTTTTGATGTTAGTAGAGATGGGGTTTCACCATGTTGCCTAGGGTGGTTTTGCTCTTTCGTCACTGAACTCCTGAGCTCAGGCAATCTGCCCACCTTGGCCTTTCAAAGTGCTGGGATTACAGGTGTGAGCCACTGCCCCGGGTCAGTATTATTTATTTAGACTAGTCAAGTGGAGTAGTGAGAAGAGAGGAAAGAGGAGGACGAGTTTTATGTGTAACTGACTCTGTTATAATGGAGATAACTCATCACCTTCAGACGCAGCCTCAGCATTATTTAAGTCCATGTTTCCCAAACTTCCCTTACCATAGAATATTTTTTTCTTCTTTGTTCTGTATTTCTTTCCACAGTCTTCATTTGTTCCACAAAACACACTTGGAGAATGGCTGGGCTGGAGATTCCCACTGGCTCTGGGGCAAGTCTGGCCAAAGGCATGATTCCAGACCACAGCTGGAATAGAACGTAGGCTCCACCTTGCATGTAGGGGACTGTGTCTTACATGTCCTCCATATTCCAGGGTCCCTGAGCTAGAAAGGTTCTTGGTAGGGCTGGGAGCTGGGATATTGGGGTGGAAAGAGCCTGCTTCCTATGAAACATCCTGGAAAGTTGCTGTCTGGCTTTTTGAACACCTCTAAGAATGGAAAGCCTTTTGTTAGAGCCATTTCTTAAGAAGTCTGTCCTCCTACACTCCTGTTAATTAGTGTCCGAGCCACGTGGCCAAGCCCAATCCCTCGTGGCTGGTTATCCAACCACTGGCAGAATGGAGCCCTCTTGTTTGCCTCCGAGTCCTCTTTTTGTCTTCGCTGTTGCTCATGTGATGTGGTCTAGAGTCCTGCACCTTCACATCCTCTTTCCTCTGTGTGGGCTGTGATTGGCTGACATCCTTCCCACAGGGTGATGAGGAGAAGCAGATTTCAACACAGATTTGGCATTTCCCTGCAGGGCCTGGAGCAGCACCTCCCCCGAGGCTCTATCCAGATGGCTCAAGCCTGTCCTCACCTGCCTGCCTTATTCCTTGGACAGCAACTCTATGGTTCCCTTCCTTTATGATTGCCTTTCTGTTTGAAGAACTTTGCTTAGCCCCTCCCTTCCTTCCCTTCCTTCTTTCCTCCTTCCTTCCCTTCCTTCCTTCTTTCCTCCCTTCCTTCCTTCCTCCTTTCCTTCTTTCCTCCCTTCCTTCCCTTCCCCTTCCTTCCTTCCTTCCTTCCTTCCTCCCTCCCTCCCTCCCTCCTTCGTTCTTCTCCCTCCCTCCTTCCCTCCTTCCTGCCTTCCTGCCTTCTTTCCTTTGTCACAGTCTCGCTTTGTTACCCAAGCTGGAGTGCAGTGGTGTGATCATGGCTCATTGTAGCCTCAAACTCCTAGGCTCAAGCAATCCTCCTACCTCAGCCTCCCAAGTAGCTGCGACCAAAGGCATGCATCACCACATCCAGCTAATTAAAAAAAAATGTTTTTGTAGAGCTCAGAGTCTCATTATGTTGCCCAGGCTGGTCTCAAACTCCTGGCCTCAAGGTATCATCCTGCCTCAGCTTCCCTTAAGTGCTAGGATTACAGGAATGAGCCACTTTGACTGACCTGCCCTTAGCCATTCTTTGCGGGTAGGTCTGACTGTGACAAATTCTCTTAGTTTTCTTTATCTAACGATGTCTTGATTTCGTCTTTATTTTTGAAAAATGTAGAATCCTGGGTTAATAGATTTGTTTTTCTTTCAATATTTGAAAAATCTGCCATTCTCTTGGTTGTCCATGCTTTCTGATGAGAAATCCATTCTCACTTGTATTGTGTTTCTCTGTAGACAATGGGATGTTTATCTCTAGCTGCTTTCAAGACTTTCTCTTTGTCTTTAGTTTTCTGAACTTTGATTATAATATATCCTTTTTTTTTTTTTTTTCTGAGGCGAAGTCTCTCTCTGTCACCCAGGCTGGAGTGCAGTGGCACAATCTCAGCTCACTGCAACCTCTGCCTCCTGGGTTCAAGTGATTCTCCTGCCTCAGCCTCCTGAGTAGCTGGGATTACAGGTGTGCACCACCACGCCCAGCTAATTTTTTTGTTTTCAGTAGAAACAGGGTTTCACCATGTTGGTCAGGCTGGTCTTGAACCCCTGACCTCAAGTGATCCACATGCCTCGGCCTCTTAACGATGTGTCTTGATGTGGATTTCTTTGGATTCATCCTATGTGGGGGTGCTTGGCTTCTTGGATCTGTAGATTAGTATCTTTTACCATATTTGGAGAGTTTCCAGCCATTATTTCTTTGAATTCTTTTTCAGACCCACACCCTTTCTCCTCTCCTTGAACTCCAGTCATACAAATGTTAGATATTTTGTTGTAGTCCCACGGTCCCTGGGGCTCTGTTCATTTCTTTTTTATTTTTATTTTTTGAGACAGGGTCTTGCTGTGTCACCCAGGCTGGGGTGCAGTGGCTTGATCTTGGCTCACTAAAGCCTCTGCCTCCCTGGTTCAAGTGATTCTCCTGCCTCAGCCTCTTGAGTAGCTGGGATTATAGGCATGGACCACTATGCCTGGCTAATTTTTGTATTATTATTATTATTATTTTTTTAATAGAGACAGGGTTTCACTATATTGGCCAGTCTGGTCTTGAACTCCTGACCTCAAGTGATCCTCCCACCTTGGCCTCCCAAATTGTTGGGATTACAGCCATGAGCCACTGTGCCCGGCCTTGTTCATTTCTTTTCAGTCTATATTTTTTCTGTTGGTTGCTATCGAGTAATTTCTATGGTTTTATGTTCAAGTTCACTGATTTTTTTCCTCTATCATAGTCATATTAATGCTGTTATTTATATTGTATTTTTCTTTCTTAAATTTTTTTTTTCCCTTTACTCCTGTGACAGATTATGTATTTTTTAGTTTTAAAACTTCCAGTTGTTTTTCTTTGTGTCTTGTGTTTCTTTGCTGAGACGTTTTATTTTTTTAATTTTTATTGTTATTATTTTTTGAGACAGAGTCTCACTCTGTCACCCAGGCTGGAGTGCAGTGGTGCGATCTTGGCTCACTGCAAGCTCCACCTCCCAGGTTCATGCCATTCTCCTGCCTCAGCCTCCTGAGTAGTTGGGACTACAGGTGCCCGCCACCACGCCCGGCTATGTTTTTGTGTTTTTAGTAGAGACGGGGTTTCACTGTGTTTGCCAGGATGGTCTCGATCTCCTGACCTCGTGATCTGCCCGCCTCGGCCTCCCAAAGTGCTGGGATTACAGGTGTGAGCCAGTGTGCGAGCCACTGCGCCCGGCCGAGACATTTTATTTTTTAATGTGTTTTAAGCACGTTCATAATTGCAAATTGAAGCATTTTTATGATGACTATTTAGAAATCCTTGTTAGAGAATCCTCAAATCTGTGTCATCTGGGCGCTGCATCATTGATTGCCTCTTCTCATTCAAGTTATTTTACCTGTTCTTGGTATAATGAGTGGTTTTCAGTTGTCTCCTAGACATTTTGGGTATTGTGTTGTGAGATTCTAGGTCCTCTTCTGTCTTCTTTTTTTGCAGGGCATTTATCCTGTTTAGGTCTAGCACACAGATCTAGGTGGGATTGGATGTTCGCTTCACCACTGGGCCTTGCTGATACCATCTCAGCAAAAGCAGGATATTGCCTCACACCCCTATGCCTTTCCTCATTGCTGATGATGGGATGGAATTTCAGCTCCCCACTGGGCCCTGCTGGTGGAGGCTTTTTAAAAAAATGACAATATATGTACAGGAATATGTACATATTATAAGTATGTGAAACATATGCTTAATTTTTACAAAGTGGAAGTTTAGGAGCATTTTACACATTTTCCTATTTCTTTGCATGTTCTTATAAAAACATATCAAATTCTGGGCCAGGTGTGGCGGCTCACGCCTGTAATCCCAGCACTTTGGGAGGCCGAGGTGGATGGATCACGAGGTCAGGAGATCGAGACCATCCTGGCTAACATGGTGAAACCCCGTCTCTACTAAAAATACAAAATAATTAGCCGGACGTGGTGGCGGGTGCCTGTAGTCCCAGCTACTCAGGAGGCTGAGGCAGGAGAATGGCGTGAACCTGGAAGGCGGAGCTTGCAGTGAGCTGAGATCACACCACTGCACTCCAGCCTGGGCGACAGAGTGAGACTCCATCTCAAAAACAACAACAACAACAACAACAAAAACCCATCAAATTCTTTTTTGCCATTAGCTTCTGGAGTTATTTACTCACCTATTAACTCCTCCCCTCCCCCTGCCCTCCATCTCTCGAGCTTTCCTGTGGCTGTGGGGCAGGGAGCTGCTCTTCTCTGACACGTCCTTTTGTGGAATGGGGAGAAAGGAGGGAGAGGCACACCCCATGTGAGATGAGGGGTTGGCTTCTGTTGGGAGAAGCCCTGAAGGGCAGCTGGGGCCAGAAGCAGCATAACCAGAAGGCGTTAGTCCCCATCCTGTCATTACCACTGAATTCCTGTGTGACTCCATCATCTGCGATAAGAGGGGCTTGGCCTAGTCCTCTCTCTGATCCTGTGCTTAGGTTGCATACATTATTCTAGAGTTTCCCAGGAACTTCCCAGGGAACACGTCAGCCCAGTGGCAGGTGCTGGTTGGGAGGGGCCTGTTCTGTGTCCTTGGCAGTGTCTGAGCACCCCCACCCAGCCTGTGGTACTGACAGGGCCTTTCAGGCTCTCCAGGCTGGGGCTGGCCTTGGAGGGGGTGGGGCAGTGGTATTTTGGGAGATAAGCCAGCACAGTGTCAGTCTGGAGGCAGTGCCAGCTTGCCTCCATTATCCGCTTTTCTACCTGGGGGGGCGTGGCCTGTGAAGGGATGGGGGGCTTCCAGCCTTTCTCCTCAGCCTGGGCCAGGGCCCAGGACACAGGGCATCAGGGCTCTAAGGGACCAGGAGGTCACCCAGTGTCTGATCACAAATGACAGTTTGGAAGCCCAAGGAGGGCAGGGACTTGTTGGAGGGCACACAGTAATGGTGACAAAGTCAGGACTGGAACCAACTCTCTGTCCACTTGCCTGGAACCCTTGGCCATGCCCTATGCTAACCATCTTTAGCCTGGGGGCACCTTATCCTGAGGGATGGGTACCTGAGACAGAGATGGGGGAGGCGCCTGAGCATACCACCTCCTAGGGTCCCTACCAGGGGCCCTTGCTCCCCATGCTCCCTGGGATCTGACCTCCAGCTAGGCCTGGGATGGTCCTGGTTTATAAGGGGGCAACACCAGCCCAGGGGGTCAGAACTCCCCCTACCTGTTCCCTGCCATACAATGTATGGGGCTGAGACTCTGGTCTGCAGCTTGGATCTCAGGTCTGGTCCTGGAAGAAGCGGTGAATGTTGCAGGGGCGGGGGCTTCTTATGCCGCCAGCCACTTCCTCTCCCCACGTGCAGTCAGGTTGGTGTCGCTCTCTCAACACCCATGTGGAACCTGGCTGGCGCTGGTTCCAGAGATATAAGGCATGAATCCTGCCCCCAAGGAGCTCACAGTCTAGGTCTGTGTGGCTGGCTGGTGGGCCAGGAGAGGGGCGGGCAGTTACAGTCAGCGGATGAGTGGTGCTGTGATAGGGAAGTGCTGGCCCTAGAAAGGCAGATGAGAGGCACCTCTTTTCTAGAGAGTCAGTAAGGACTCCCCTTGGGAGCACGTGGGTGGGAATTGGCCAAGGGAGATAGGTATAAAGTGTTTTTTTTTTGGTTGTTTTTGTTTTGAGATGGAGTCTCATTCTGTCATCCAGGCTGGAGTGCAGTGGCACAATCTCGACTCATTGCAACTTCTGCCTCCTGGGCTCAAGCAATTCTCCTGTCTCAGCCTCCTGAGTAGCTGAGATTACAGGCATGCGCCACCATGCCCAGCTAATTTTTGTATTTTTGGTAGAGACGGGGTTTTACCATGTTGCCCAGGCTGGTCTCGAACCCCTGGCCTCAGGTGATCTGCCTGCTTTGGCCTCCTAAAGTGCTGGGATGACAGGCGTGAGCCACCGTGCCCGGCCGGAGATGGGTATAAGTAAGGGGTAGGAAGGGATATGGGAAAGGCTTTTGGGGTGGAGGGAACAGCATGAACAAAGGCCAGGAGAGGAGAGGAGCATGACAGCTACATCCCAGAGCAAGGGGAGAAGACCCCTCAGTGAAGTCCCTGCTAATAGCCCAGCTACGTGTTCAGGAGACTATTTGGATATAGGATGCTCAGGTCATTTGCAATGGGAAGTGTGTTCAGGGTATCTAGTCCTTCTTGTTGCTAGACATAGAAACAGCTTTGTTCACTTTACAAATCAACAAGGGCCAAGAGGACTCTTGGTGACATTTTTACTGAGGGAACAGGATCAGAATTTAGTAGTCTTCCACTGACCAAATCCATCAGCATGGAAAGTTATAGAATGTTGGTTTCTGAAATCTTGAGTAGATTTCTGGGGTAGATGGGGGCTATCCCCTGTGGATGTGGAGGGGGCTACTTATTTGGTACTTTCAAGAGCCCTCTTCCCAGCTTGTGATTCTGTATTGTGAGTCAGTTTAATTCATTCACATCAAGTATTTGTTCATCGGTTCTGGGGGTGGGAGCAGGCCAGTGTGAGCACACCCAGGAGAGTCGGGGCAATGACTGGGAACACTGGGCACTGGAGGAGACAGGTGACATCTGGTTTCCTTCATAGCTGTTGACCCTCTTCCGAGGGTCTGGCCGCCCTTCCACCAGGGGTCGATACAGGCTTTGTGAGACTCGAGGCTTAAACAATTTGGGGGCTTCTTTAAGAAAGAAAACAAAATTAAGTATGAAAATATTTTTTTAGAATGAGAAAAGAAGTCACAACAAATGACTGAGGGCTGGATTCGTGTCCCTTTCTTTCTGAGGTCTCTTCAGGGGAGTTCCAGAGAGCTTCCAGGTGGCAGCCTGGCTGCCCTCCCCACCTGGAGTGCCCCAATCCTTCCAGGCAGCTCCTGGCTCCCCCAGAGGCCCGGGGCTCAGGTTGTGTTTGCCTCAGCGGTTTCCACCCATGCTCCTCGACTGGCCTGCTCCTTACCTCGGGGATTTCATGTGGATGTCACACCTCACTGCCCCTGGGATTCGCTCTCTGTCCATGGTCACAGTGAGGGTGAGTGCGTGCTCTGTGCCTGGCGGGCACACTGAGGGTCACTGGAGCCACCCCAGGGAGGGAGGATCTGCAGTCTTCCTGCTAGGCATATGAAAGAACCAAGACTCAGAGAGTTTGTTTCTTGCCTAAGATGTCATTGCTGGGATCAGAATCCAGTCTGGAATCCAGGGGCTTCAGAGCCCTGGTTCTTAAGGGCTGTGCTGTGTTATCCATCCTCCCTTATTGCAGGTAACACAGGAACAAGCAGGGGGTTACCTGCTGGGGCCTCTCTCCATCACTCAGCTCCTGAGGGCAGGCTGTGCTGCCTCCTGTGTCTCTAGCATTTGGCACAGAGCATGGCCAGCCCACCTTGGGAACACATAATGCTCGGCCATCCAGTGGAGGCAGAGTGTGGAGAGCCCAGGAGCTGAAGGAGGATGCAGTGGGGCCTGATTAGAGGGGCTTGGCAGCCATGGTGCTAAGTCTGGCCCTTACACCAAGGACAGCAGGGGCCATGAGGGGTGTCCAGCAGGGCACGGCCATCGGATCTGTGTTCTAGAAGCTCCGACTCAAGCAGCGACATGCAGATGGGCTTTGGGGGAGCTGCACACACACCATCTCCCTGCCAGAGCTGAGGGACACCAAAACCTGCCTTGTCACGTCCCCGCCCTGGGTTCCCATGGTTGAGTCGCTCTCACTCACAAGCTGTGTGGCTTGGGGCAAGGGCTTAACTTGCCAGGCCTCTCTTTCCCCACCTGGGCATCTTCATACCTGTCTCCCAAGGGGAATCCGCACAGCCACTGTTCCTGGTTTGGAGGAAGAGTCTCCTTTCTGGGCCTCTGCTACAGGGAGTTCAGGAGTTCCGTTCGCCTTGTCAGCTGTGACCTCTGGCTTGGGGCCAGCACCTGCCCCAGAGGGACCTTGTTCTCAGTCATAATTGGCTGGCCCTCCTTGCTCCCTCCTGGATCTTGGTAAATGACAGCAGCTACTCCCAAGGCCTGCCCTCCCTGGCCATCTCAGGGAAGAGGAGAGAGTCCCAGGAAGGAGCTACCCCGTGTGCAAGCATTTCAGCAGCCCAGGCCTCGTGGGGTGTAGTTGGCCTCCCACCAGCCATCCCTGTGTGTTCCACACACCTGCTGATTCCTTTGTACAGAATATGGGGAGGAGCTGCCTGGGAAAATTCATAGTATCTTTGGGCGAGTGGCTGTTTGCAAGCCTGCATACAAATTGAGTCCTTGGCTTCCACTGTGTGCCCCCTGGATGGTGAGGGCTAGAAGGGGGTAGCATGAGGAGTGGGACTGGCTGTCATTCCAGAGAGAGGATGCCAGCCTGGGATTTCCGCCCAAGAGCCTGGGTTCAGTGAGAAAGTACACATGGGCTGCTAGGATTCACATTTTCCAAAAGTTAAGGTGGAGAAATCTGGTTGGGACGAAGGCCACAGGCTTTCTGCTCTGCAAGGATTTCTGGGGAAGTGATGGAGAGCCTACCAAGTGCTAGACAAAATTACAAGCTGTTACATGCACCTTTGAAATCCTTACAGCAACCCTATCAAGTCAGTACTATTGGTGTACCCATTTTATAGATGAGGAAACTGAGGTCAAGAAAGGTAAAGTTCTGACCAGAGGGCACACAGCTGGAAGTAGCAGGATCAGGATTCAAACCCAGCTGCCTGCTGCCAAGGCCTGGATGCTCACTCTGTCTTTCTGCCTCTAGGAGAGTTAGTAAACAGAAGCAGATTGAGCCCAGAGGCCATGTGAGCAAAACCAGGAGTTCTACCAACAACATCCCTGCACCAAGCCAGCTATGCACTTCCTGGCTGCAGTCACCAGGCAGGGGGGCCCAGTGCTCTCTCTTTCTGTGGTGTCCATGACCCTAGAGGACAGGTCGGCCACTTGGTAGTGCCTGTGCTCCGGTGAGCCACAGAGGCAATGAGACCAAGGGGAAAATCTCTCGGCTCGGTCTCTCCCCCGCGCAGGGAGCTATGGGCTCCTTCAGCGAGTGGTTGCTATGCAGCCTTGTTTATTCAAGGAGAGCTTTGCTGAGAGCTGGAGCACGCCAGCAGTGGAGCTCGTGGCCACCCAGCCCCTGCTCAGACAGGAGGCTGCGGCCCAGGACTGTGTGGCTGGTGGGGGCCAGGGTGGGCCAGGCCTGGGGCTGCCCCGTCCTTGCCTCCCTGGGCCCATGAGCATCAACGTCTCTATAGAGACCAAGGACCCTGGATTCCTCCAGTGACAGGGGTTTGGCCTCTGGACAGAGAGGTGAGAGACGATAGGTCCACCAAGCCATCTATTGTAGGTGGTGAATGGGAGGCTGGGTCAGGACCCCTGAAGTCCCTGGAGGGAGGGATAAAGACCTGAACTGGAGCAAGCACAAACACACAGAGAAAGAAAAAGCATCCTGCTGTGACTTGGAGGCTGTGTGACCGTGGGGATGTCTCTGACCCTTTCTGGGCCTTCATGTGGCAGCTCTAGGGGAGGAGGTTGGACTCACTGTTCTCTGAGCACTGGGAGCCAAGGAAGGAGGGGCTGGCCTGGGCTGACCCCTTCCCCGAGTCATGGCCTCTGTGGGCAGTGCTCTCTACCTCAGGGTGAACCCTTCACAGGGCAACAGCTCCCTGGGGTGCTGTGGGCGATGGTGCCGGGAAGGGTGGGGGCATGCTGTGGGGATGGCACCCGTGCTTAGGGGTGCTGGGGCACCCCGTGAGAGCATAGGCCTTGGAGGGGCTCTGCTCTGGGTTTGAATTCTAACCCCCCCTCTTTCTGGCTGTGTGGACTTGAGCTCTTTGCCTCTCTGAGCCTCAGGTTTCTCATCTGTGAAGAAGGGTTTAAAAAAAGCCCCCTTGGTGCTGTCTGTGAGCATGGAGACAGTCAGGAGGGCAGCTGGCACGTTAGCCCATGCGCAGAATGGAAGTTACTGTTTGTTGTTGATGCTGTTGTTAGGTGGAGATTGGCATGTTCCTTTCTGGAGCACATTTCAGTCTCCTGAAACTAAGGTTTTGCCAGTCACTTCTCCAGGACAAGGGCTGGTGCTGGCGGGGGACCTCAGAGGGCTGCCATTTCCTCAGGAGCGCTGGGAGGGGAGGGACTGGGGCCCGTACTCTGTCGGAGCATCACTGAGGCAGGCCACAGGGCATTGGTGCCTGGCCCCAGGAAGTGGTGTGAGGGGCCCATAATCGCTTCTATCCTGAACTGGGCAGTCCCTCGCTCTTCTCACCAATGCCCTGCAGGAGACGGCCCTGCAGCCTTCTAGCCACAGGCTGGCTCCCAGGACTGGCTCAGTTTCAGCCCATGGAGCCTGAGACTAACAGATTTGAAGAAAGGGGGAGGTAGTTGGGGGCAAGGGATGGGGAGATGTCAACCTGAGCTCTGGAGAGACCTGCCTCTGAGGGCAGCGCATCCTCCCATTGACCCCACGGCTACCTCAGAGGCACCAGACTCTGCTCACTAGCACAGAGGCTGGAAGTTTATTATTGCAGACAGAAGAATGCATAAAATGCATGCAGTGTGAGGAATAATTATAAAGTGAATGTCCATGTAGCCACCTCCCAGGCCAAGAAACAGAAAAACTGGCCGCCTCCCAGAACCCACCCCCGTGGGCCCTGTCCTTATCACAGCTGCCTCCCTTCCCCTTAGGGTTAATCATGCTACTAATTTTTCCTTGATTTTCTATCAAGTTTTCCATCTATGTCTGCATTTTTATTTTAATTTAATTTCGCTTCATTTTTTGAGACAAGGTTTCACTCTGTCCCCCAGGTGGGAGTACAGTGGCATGATCTCAGCTCACTGCAACCTCTGCCTCCTAGGCTCAAGTGTTCCTCCCACCTCAGCTTCCCAAGTAGCTGGGTGTACAGGTGCACACCACCATGCCCGGCTAATCTTTGTGTGTGTGTATATATAAATATATATATATATATATATATTTTTTTTTTTTTTTTTTTTTTTTTTTTGTAGAGATGGGTTTTTTCCATGTTGCTCAGCCTGGTCTCGAATTCCTGGCTCAGGTGATATGCCTGCCTTGGCCTCCCAAAGTGCTGGGATCACAGGTGTGAGCCACCACGCTGGGCCTATGTATGCATTTCTAAACACTCGATGTAATTTTGTCTTTCTTTGAACTTTATAGAAGTAGGGGCATACCCTGTGTGGTCTCTTGGGTCTGTCTTCTTTCACTAAACATTACGCTGTGGCATCGTCCATAGTGTTGAGTGGGGCAGTCGTTTGTTTCATTGCTCTGTAATATTCTATGTTGTGAGTGCACCATGATTTAGTCCTTCATTTTCCTGTTGGACATTTAGATTTTTTCCAGATTTTGGCCATTATCCATGGCACTGCTCTGGACACTCTCGAGCTCCTTTCCTGGATCACCTGTGCAAGACTTTCTCAAGGGTGGGTTCCTAGGAGTGGAATTGCTGAACATTAGGTTTGTGCATTTTTAGCTTTATCAGGTAAAGCCAGACCACTTTCCCAAGGGTTTGTGCCCATTTGCATCTCACCTGCCAGCTGTCATGAGTGCTCCCATTGCTCTGTGCTCTCACTAGCACTTGGCATTGCCGCCCATCTCAATTTTTGCCCATCTTTGTGGGATGGTGGTAGCATCTCATTTGCATTTTCTTGATTACCAGGGGGTTGAGCATCTGCCCCCAGCCATTCTTCCTCACCTCTTTCCTCCTCTGTTGGGTGCCTCCCTTCCTCTGCTCTCTGTGATCTCAGCCCCTCATGGTGCTCAGGCTTTTGAGCCCCATTTTTCTCTCTGCCCTCCCCACTCCTCCATCCCTCTCCTCCATTCTTCTTCTTGGAGAACCAATCACTATTCCACATACTTCTTAGTGTTTGAATTACAGACCCAGGCTCCAGAGCCACTGTCTGGAAGTCTGAGTTTCCCATTTCGTGTTTTAAAACCTCTGGTTCTTGGCCCAACTCACATCCCTTCCTGGGTCTTGGATTTCTCTTCAACAAAACAAAGACAGAAAAAAAAATGTCCCTCCACAGAAGCCATTTATATTTCCCAGGCAAAACCTGGTGTATGTCCTGGAGAGGCACACACAAAACTCTGGCTCCTATTCAAGAAAGTCGGCTTTCTCATGGGCCATTGGGAAGGGACAGGGCCGGGGTCTGAAGTCTTCTGAGCTTCTTGCAGGGAGGCCTTTGCCAAGAGCCCTTTCCTGGGGTGTGACAGACATTCAGATGCTAGAGTCATGCCAATACACCTTTGCTGAGACTTTGGACAAGATGCTTTCTTGCTTCCTAGTCCCTTCTGATCCTCTGAGTACATGTGCTTGTTTACAGTCTACAGTTTGAAGATTCAAGCTCCTGCTACTGGGCAGGAATCCTCAACTGATCAGCCAAACCCTGCAGAAGGCATTCCTGGGGCAGTGGACCAAGCCATTTTTCATTCGAGACTCCAGGACTATGATCAAGTGCTAGGATAACTCTTACCTTGATGGTGGAAATCTCAGGGCCAGCAGAAGACTTCCAAGCCCCAGCCAATGGCTGTGTGATTTCAGGCAGGATTGATGCGGTGGTATCCTACCCCTCCCAAAACCTTAATCCTTGGGAGCACACTACACAGGCTCTGACCAGGCACTGTAGTGGCAAGGTGACCATTTTGGGGAGGCCTTGATGGGAAGCTGGAAAAGGAAGCTTTCCTCCCAGTCCTGCTGAAGGCCTTGCCAGCTGGCAGCCAGTGTGATGCCTATAGGGGTATGGGCCCTGGGATAGGTATTGGCTCCTGATGGCCTTATGTAGGTGTTATAGACTGAATGCATGCGTCCCACAAATGCAAATGTTAAAGCCTAACCCCCCATGTGTTGGTATTAGGAGGTGGGGCCTTCGGGAGGTAATTAGATTCAGATGAGGTCGTGAGGGTGGTTGTCTCATGATGGGTTAGTGCCCTTAGAAGAAGAGACCAGAGAGCTTGCTCTCTGTCTCTCTCTCTGCCATGTGAGGACAAAGGGAAGACAGCTACCTGCAATCCAGGAAGTGAGTCCTCACCAGGAGTGGAATCAGCTGGCACCTTGATCTTGGACTTCCCAGCCTCCAGAACTAAATTGCTGGGGTTTTTTTTTTGTTTTGCTTTTCATTTTTTTGTTTTGTTTTTGTTTTTGTTTTAAGTCGGAGTTTTGCTCTTGTTGCCCAGGCTGGAGTGCAATGGTGTGATCTCGGCTCATTAACCCCTCATTTACAAGGGAGGAAACTAGCTGACCTCCAAGGCCCCTTCCAGCTTGAAATTTAGTAACAGAAGAAAGGCATGGGAAATTCTGTTAAATTACTAGACCAAGTTCTGATTAATCTCTAATTTATATTTGCACCAACACGATACACAAAGGTGGGGGCAGGTTCAGAAGATTTTGAATTTTGTAAATTTGTGTATAAGTTACATACGCTTTGTTACTAGGACCACAGCCCACTCATATGGTTCCTTTGTGAATTAGAAAAAGATGTCTCTTTCTCAAGACACTTTTCTTCTATTCATCAGAAAAAGACTGAAATGAATGTACAAATATGTACAGTCATCGTCTAAAACAACATTGCCAGGACTTTGGAGAAGATGTAGTGTGAGGCTTATGCCTGTAATCCCAGCATTTTGGGAGGCTGAGGTGGGTGGATCACTTGAGGTCAGGAGTTCGAGACCAGCCTGGCCAACATGGCAAAACCCCGTCACTACTAATAATACACACAAAAAAATAACTAGCTGGGCATGGTGGCACATGCCTGTAATCCCAGCTACTTGCAAGGCTGAGGCAGGAGAGTTGCTTGAACCTGGGAGGTGGAGGTTGCAGTGAGCTGAGATCATGACACTGACCTCCAGCCTGGCCGACAGAGTGAAACTGTGTCTCAAAAAAAAAAAAAAAAAAGATGTAGTGTGAGAGATGTCTCCTTAATTAGGATGCCCTCGTGCAGTGCCCAACCTAGACAATCAAACATGGCAGCCCTGCTTGTCACTTATCTCATTGTTTTTCAAAAACAGCCTAAATAAAACTTTCTCTCCCCCTAGGCTTTCCTATGTCTTTTAGACTGTTAATTCTCACATCAGAATTTCCTGGGGTTGTGGAGGGGGGATGTTTTAAATGCTGCGGCCCATCCACCCCCAACCCGAGATACCCACACTGAGCTGCTATTACAAATGGATGGCCACATTCCTCGGCTGCGTTGGGCATAAAACAGTTGGGAAGTGCTGCTTTGGGTTTCTGACCACTTCCTCTGCCCTGTCCTGGGAGGTCATTAGATTCAGGTGTGAACTGCCTCCTGAACAGACTGTTCTGTTAAGAAAGGTTCTTCCCAGCAACGTGCTACTTGACCCCTGTTGTAAGTGTCCCGCCCCAGCCTGCCCACTGCTTCCTGCTCACCCTGGACAGCTCAGGAAATGGAAGGACCTCCTGCTGCACAAGGTGGCACCTCCGTGTTGCTGTCCAGCCTCAGCCAGGCCTCTGTAGCTTCTTGGCCCAAAGGCTTTCAAAAGGGACATTTCCCCTCTTCCTGAACATCTGAACACAGCAAAACAGTTACTAAACAACCAATACTATTAATAGCCACTGTGGATCGAGCCCTTGGGCCCAATCAGCCTATTAAATGTTTCTCATATTTTGTGGAATATTCTCAATAACCTTGGAGATAGATATTATTATTTCCATTTCGCAGTTAAATGGAGACTCAGAGAACTTTAATCATGTGCCTGAAGTCACACAGCTAGCAGGTGATGGAATTTAACCCTGTTGACTCCTGAATGAATGCCCTGAAATACTGCCACCTCCGTGAACAGAAACCATCAGCCCCGACTCTTCTACTTAGTAGCTCTGTGGCCTCAACCTAGTTACTTAACCTCTCTGAACCTCAATCATCTTGTCTATAAAATGAAGATGAAAATACATACTTTCTTTCTCTATTTCCAAAGCTCAATGACATAGTATTTGGAAGCACACTGTAGTACATTGCCCCGGGCGCAAAGCAAAATGGAACTAAGAAATGTTAATTCCTTCACTTAGGTTCTTCTCAATAAGACTGTCTGGAAGATGTGCTTTAGTGTTTTTTTATGAGACGGAGTCTTGCTTTGTCACCTAGGCTGGAGTGCAGTGGCATGATCTCGGTTCACTGCAAACTCCGCCTCCCAGGTTCACGCCATTCTCCTGCCTCAGCCTCCCGAGTAGCTGGGACCGCAGGCATCCACCACCACGCCCAGCTAATTTTTTGTATTTTTAGTAGACATGGGGTTTCACCATGTTAGCCAGGATAGTCTCGATCTCCTGACCTCGTGATCCGCCCACCTCGGCCTCTCAAAGTGCTGGGATTACAGGTGTGAGCCACCACACCCGGCCAATGTGCTTTAGTTTTGAATTCATTCATTCAGTCACACTACAGTTACTGCATTATTGCCATGAACCTGGCACTGTTTGTCCCTTTGTCTGCATTCTGTGGAATTGCTGGCTGGCTGCACCCTATATTGTCTGAGAACAGAGTGGCTACAGGAGTATTAACCCCACCTGATCTCACGATGGGAGAGGAGACGCCATCTGCAGCAGTGGTGGTAGACCCAGAGCTGGTAAAGAGTTGTGGTGGGGGGCTTCTCATCTGCGAACGGCCTTTCTGCTGGCCCCCACATGCCAGTCACAGCTGGAGTCAGGGGCCTGAGTGGCGGGGGGCCTTGGATGCCCCCACAGGGGGTCTGATGGGTGTGGACATCAGTCTCGCAGTTGGGGGTGAAGTGGCTCTTGGGACTGCCAGCTCTAGGAGTGGCCGAGTTGAGGGTCAGTGTGGAAACCAGCCCTGCCCCAAGCTAATAAAGATGGACATGCAGGTGGAGCCATCCAGGCCTCCTTGCAGCTTGTCTGCAGCTCCAGAGAGGGAGGTCTGGGCTCTACGGTAGGCTTGGAAGTCCCGATAATCAGATGGCAATTGAAATCACAAGGGTAGGTGCTGCCTGTAAGAAGCCCTCCTAATAAAGATGGAGGCATCTGGGAGAGGAAAGGAAAGGAATGGTTTGGTTCTTCTAAAGTCAGAATATGTCTCCGTGACTGTTCAGAACTTCACACTCCTGAGTCCAGCTCTCATGTGCAGCAGACTCACCTCCCTCTTCACTGCCAATATCAAGGCCGTTCTACGTGCCCTTTCTCTCTTCCTGACCTCTCCCTCTGTAGGACCCTTGGCTCTTCCTCCAGGGTCCGAGGACTGGTGCTCCCATCTGGCCCAGCCTGTGCCCTTCTCCCTCAGCTGTTAGCACTGGGCTCCCGCTCCATCAGCTCCCCTCCCTCCCCTGTGTCTTCAGCCTTTTCCTTCTGACTCTTTCTCCTCCTCCTGTGAACACGCTCTAGAATCTCCTACCCTGAAAAATACAGAGAACAAACAAGCAAACAAAAAATACAGAGAACAAACAAGCAAACAACACAGCTTCATCCACCCTTCATTCCCCTCCAGCTACTCTCCAACCTCTCTCCTGCCTTTCTCATCCAAATTCTCCAGCGTTGTTTGGACTCACCATCTCTATACCTTCCACTCACGCCTCAGACCTCAGCAATTTTCTGTGACCCGCATGCCTCCACAGGCACAGACCTTGCTCTCACTAAGCTCCCGATGATTCCATAATGGTCACATCCAATTGGCTGAGCTGACACCTCTAACCACTCTCTGCTCATCTGGCTCTCCTGGCGCCAACTCCCCTGGCCTCCCTGGCTGTCCTTGATCAGACCCCCTTAGGGTCTCCCCTTCTCTACCCATCTCTGCTCAATGCTGCTGCTCCCTGGGATGTTCCTTAGCTCTGGGCACTCTCTTGTGGTCAGGTTTTTGTATTTTTATTTTTTGAGCTGGAGTCTTGCTCTGTCGCCCAGGCTGGAGTGCAGTGGTGTGATCTCAGCTCACTGCAACCTCTGCCTCCCATGTTCAAGTGATTCTCCTGCCTCAGCCTCTTGAGTAGGTAGGATTAAAGACTTGTGCTACCACACCCAGCTAATTTTTGTATTTTTTGGTAGAGATGGGGTTTTGCCATGTTGGCCAGGCTGGTCTCTAACTCCTGACCTCAAGTGATCTGCCCACCTTGGCCTCCCAAAGTGCTGGGATTACAGGTGTAAGCCGCCATACCGGGCCCGCTTTTCATATTTTATTGAATGCAATATTGAAGTGAGATAAGCATTATCTCCTTTTTTTTTCTTTTTTGAGACAGGGTCTTTGTCGCCCAGACTGGAGTGCGGTGGCACAATCTCAGCTCACTGCAGCCTCAACCTCCTGCGCTCAAGTGATCCTCCTGCCTCAGCACCCCCAAGTAACTGAGACTACAGGCACAGGCCACCACGCCTGGCTAATTTTTGTATTTTTGTAGAGATGAGGTTTTACTGTGTTGCCCAGTACTGTGTTGCCCAGGCTGGTCTTGAACTCAAGCGATCTGCCAGCCTTGGCCTCCCAAAGTGCCAGGATTACAGGTGTGAGCCACCATGCCCAGCCAATTTTTGTATTTTATAGAGACGAGGTTTTACTATGTTGGCCAGGCTGGTCTCGAACTCAAGCGATCAGACAGCCTTGGCCTCCCAAAGTGCCAGGATTACAGCAGTATTTCCACTTTGCAGTTAAAAGAGCTGGGGCTCAGAGAAGTTTAGCAACGTGCC
This sequence comes from Homo sapiens, assembly GCF_000001405.40. Lineage (NCBI taxonomy): Eukaryota > Metazoa > Chordata > Mammalia > Primates > Hominidae > Homo > Homo sapiens. The sequence goes on from NC_000002.12 coordinate 28,989,866, forward strand.
TTCAGTCACACAGCTTGCAGGTGCTGGATTTTAGTCTTATTCCCCTTCATATCTTAGTACCTATGGCATGTTTGAATGAATGAGTGAATCTCACATTTTCAGTGGCAGGCCGAACTCTGGAGGTCAGAGTCTCATAAGTTGGTCACCTGACAACATCCAGAGTCCTCCCTGCAGGTCTACGGCCTGGGCTGCCTCCCATGAGGGGAGCAGAGGTGGGTGGAGGGGTGAGATGTATGTGTATGGTGATTGGAAGCATGGGTAGCTGTTTCTTGTCCACAGGGAGACAGCACGAGATACAGGAAGGCATGTTCTGTCCAGTCTAAACCCTGCGTATAATCAGTGTGAAATCCTGGTTAAGTTGTTTATTTTCTGTGCCTGGTCCAGAGGCTGGGCTGACATCTCTACATGTCAGTGCTGTAATTCTCTCCGAGGCTCCCCTTCCTTAGGAAGTCCTTCCAAGGCCCCACTTGAGGGGTCTGCATGAAACTGCAGGTCAGATAATGCCATTCCTCTCCTTGCACAGTCTTCAGAGTTTCCCGGGGCTGCAGAGCAAGCCCCGACCCTCTCACAGAGCATTCTGGGTCTCCCCCGATGGCCCTCATCCCGCTCCCCGGGCCTGGATCCTCTTGCCAGACCCCAGACTCACAGGCGCATCTCCTCCACGCTTGCCTTAGGCCGCCTCCTCGGCCTGGAATGCCATTCCTCCTTCCTACCCGTTTAGACCCCATTTCCTACCCGTTTTGATCCTACTTCCAGGCCCAGCACGGATGCTGCTTTTCTGTGGAGCCTCTCCGGTGCCCTAGTCAGACAGTATGGAGGGTATCCCTGAGTGCTCATCTCTGTAGCAGGGTTACTTTGTCCTGTCGGGCGTGACAGTGAACGTTCACCTTCTCTGCTTGGCATTACAGACAGCATTCGCTTAGAAATGTGGGCTCATGGGTGAGAGCTGGAGGGGGTCGAAGGCAACATCTAGTTTGAGCCTCTTATTCTATAGACATATCTGTCTCCTCCGCATGAGAGGCGTCTCTGTCACCTGGGTCTGTCTTATAGGAATGGAGGGCCGGCCTGTCATAACTTTAAAGACAGTGTGGGTGTATGGACATGCGAGTGTGTGTGTGTGTGAAGGGTGTGTGTGTGTGTGTGTGTGTGTGTGTGTGTGTGTGTGTGTGTGTGTGGCTTTTCCCCAGGGAAAAAGAAGGAAGATTCACACCTGACATTATTGAGCAATTACTATATGCCGGCAATAGGACTGTTATTTCTAACATTACTTCATTTATTCCTAACAAAACCCCTTGTTAGGACATTTTTTTCAGATGAAGAAACTGAAGCTCAGAGGAATTAAATCAGCTTGCCAAGTTTACACAAGAGGGCCCGGGGCAGGATTCCAGCCCCACTGTGTCTGAGCCCACAGCCAGTGTTCTGGGAGTTCTGAGTTGGACACTGGGTGCATACTGGCTTGTGGGGTGTGAGACGGGAGGGGGGCCTAGATCTGAGGCCTCTCTTCCGAGAGTGTGTCAGTGGGGGCCATGTTTTTGGTTCCAGAATGAGAGTTTGTAAACGCTGCCACCTTTCCCCTCAGCCTGGCTCACCCCTCCTTCCTTTCTCTGTCACCTTGGTGTGGGCTCTACTGTTCCCACCAGCTTTGTCTGAGGAGATGAGAACTCTGGCTGGAGACGTCTCAGAGGTCTCTGAAAGTCGGAGCGGGTGGTGTCATGACAGAAAGAGAAGCTGTGGGAGCGGCAGCCCCAGGGCTGTGGTGGGTGGGATGAGTCTGCCCAGCTCCTTGGGAGCAGAGTGGGCGTGGAGCTGCACGCTCCCTGTGGACTGTGCGAGGCCCGGGTGGTTGGGGTTTTGTGCTTGGGACTGAACTTCTTTACTGGGCCAGCCCTAGCTAGCTTTTGTTCCCTTTCCACTTGACACTTGAGTCCCCTGTGTCACCTTTCTTCATTCCTATGGCCCCGGTCACTATGGAACCTCTGTAGCCATAGCATTAATGGGAGGAGGGGACAACGGTTACTTACCCCGGGTCGCCCCATTCCCTGGGCTGGGAAACGGAGGCTGAGAGGGGAGAAGCCAGCCAGGCAGAGCAATTCAGAGCATCAGGAAGTGAGGACAAGATCCTGGTCACCAGAATCCACTGGCTCATTTAGCCCTTTGGGTCAGGGGCTGGCTGTTCTAACAGGGGAGAGTAGCGCCTTAGTGTCCAGAGCAGTGCTGGGTGTGATGGGGCCTCGGTGAATTGTGCCTTGGGGGTCAGGTGCTCAGTGGTGTCTGCCCTGTCCACACTTGTGCTGGACTTCCTGATTCTGATTTTTATAGTTTGGATATGGATCATTCAGTTCCTACAGGTCCCTGGGCCAAAGTGATTTCCTGGGGTGGTGCCTCTCACTGCGCTCACGTTAGTCAGGCTTGTTTGTCCATAGCAGCTTTGGCCACCTCCTCTTGGGCGGGCACCTAGGAGATCCTGCACTAGACCCTGGGGCCTGAAGGGTCGAAGGTGTAGACCCTGAGAGGGTCTCAAAGGGGCTCTGCTGGAGGGGATGCTTTGGCGAGCCATGGAATGGCTCCAGATTTCCTTTCCATACTGCTGGTGTCCTGGGACCAGGGGGAACCTGGGCTGCCTTGGCATGTTGACCTCTGACCACTGAGGAGGCTACGGTGGGAAAACTGTCTTGTTCAGAAGGCCCACTGCAGTAGGGGTGGCTGTTGAAACTTAAGCATCCCGTAACCTCAGGCGGCTCGAGTCTTCTTTTTAGCCTCCTAGAGAGTGATCACTTTGGGGAAACTGAAGCAGCAATGACCATTCTGACAGCCTAGGGTAAGAAATAGGGCCGAGATCTTATTATAAAGTGAATCTGAACTACAGACCAGTGATTTTTTGATCCTGTCTGAACATCAAAATCAGAAGTTAAGGCTGGGTGTGGTGGCTCATGCCTGTAATCCCAGCACTTTGGGAGGCCGAGGCAGGCAGATTACTTGAGGCCAGAAGTTTGAGACCAGCCTCGCCAACATGGTGAAACCCCATCTCTGCTAAAAATACAAAAATTAGCTGGCCATGGTGATGTATGCCTGTAATCCCAGCTACTTGGGAGGCTGAGGCAGGAGAATGGCTTGAATCCGGGAAGTGGAGGTTGCAGTGAGCCAAGATCATGCCACTGCACTCCAGCCTGGGTGGCAGAGAGAGATTCTGTCTCAAAAAAAAAAAAAAAAAAATCAGAAGTTAAAGAAAAAAAAATCCCTGTGGCCTATTTCCTAGACCTAATTCAGCAGGGGCTGGAGGTGGGGCGTGGAAATCTGTAATTTTAATTGGTTTCCAGGCTATTGTAATCTGCAGTTAAGGAGAACAAAGACTGTAGCTAAATATTGCTTTTCTGCATATAATTTTCGTAGAAAGTGTATCCTCTGGTTAGAGATATGGGGAACAGGTGGGGCTTGCAACTCTCACAGCCCCCAAATCCCAGGACCCCAGCTTGTTTGCTATAATTCAGCCATGGAAGGTCTGTGCCAGCCTGCCACATTCCTGCTGGACTTTGTCTGGAAACCAGCTGCCTGGCCAATCTCTTGAGCCTCTTCCCTAGCTCAGGGGGTGAAGTTTGGGGTGTTGGTGCCTGTGGAATAGAATCTTCCCTCGCCTTGTCTAGGAGAGGTGCTGTGTCTCACAGGGGTTCAGGACTGCTTTTCACCACCGTGTGGCCACATCCTTATCCCAGTAGATATTAAACAGAGAGTTCCCCTCTCCCTGGTTGTGAGGAAAATTCTCCTCAGACAGGGAACTCATGTCTTGAGGTTCTAAGCAGTGAGACCAGGCTGGGGCCAAGCTGGGCTGGGTGCTGGGCTGGGTGCTGTGCTGGGCCGGGCACTGGGCTGGACACCTGTGTTTGGGTTGAGGGTTGCTAGGAGCTACTCTGCCTTCTGGGGCCTGGGTGGGGCAGTGGCTGGCTGGCTTCCAGACAGAAGGCAAGTTTCTCAGTTCCTGAGTTGGGATTTGTTGCTCAGAAAAGGGAGTTGGCACAGGTTCCTGCCCTGTCCCCAGACGCTTTGTGGACGAGAACTCCTCTCTGGGGTAGAAATTAGGAGCTGTGGGCTTCACCCCTGGTCTTACCACAGATCAGCTCTGGAAGCACCTCTGTTACCTGTCAGGGGAAAACGGGTCACCATTATCGCAGCAAAGGATTCATAGAATTGTGTGAAGCTGCAGAGTGTGCAGTGAGACCCTGTCACATGGAAATAAAATGAAGTTAGGTCAAGGGCAAGAGCTGAGGGCTGACCCAGAGGCTGAAGGGAGGGCTGGAGGGATCAAGGTGTGGGCAATGCGGTGGCTGAGGGGGGTCACAGGTGTGGCTTGTTCAGTCAGGTGAGAAGGAGCACCAAGGACGTCATGGAGGTCATGACCGCGCATCCTGAGAGAGACTGGAGAACTGGTGTCCGAGAGGCCCCGCCAACACCTGTGTGATCAGTGGTTGCAGAGGCCAACATCGCCATGGGCTTTCAGGGCAGCTGGCGGACTCAGGGGCATCTGAAGCAAATTGAAACTGATGGAGAAACACAGTGTCAGACACTACCTTGAAAAAAATCATCTTTCCCCGCGACCCTAAAGGTGTCCATGTCTCAGTGACAAGGGATGGCAGGTTGATGGGTTTTGTTGACACTCTTCATAACGAACTCTTCCCAAAACCACACGGCCTCGCACTTGGGAACTGAAACATTTGTGAGTCCAATGTCAGAAAAATGGCATCCTTTGGTTTAGTGGCCGATTTCTTCATGACAATAATGCTTTAGCCCCTGAAGGGCTTTTTGTGAAGTAGTTTAAAAGTGTTAATTTGCTTTTACTGACTTCTCCTTTCTCCTCTCACCCTTAGGTCCCGGATGTTACAGGTCAGAGCCCTCCAGACCCCCAAGGACTGTACTCACTGCCCAGAAATAGCTGCTGCCTCTGGGCAACCTTGTAGGCACCTTCTCCACCCAGGACATGGGCACCCGTGACGATGTCCCCGAAGGTAAGGGGCACCATGGGAGGCCTGCTGCTGGTGTTTTCCAGGCTAGGGGACCTGCCTCGGACACTCCCAAGGGCCAGAAAAAGGGAGATGTGGGGATAAAGGGCTGCTGGGAGATAACAGCCAGGTGGCCGTGCCTTTCCAGCCCTGGCCAGCTCCCCACATGCTGCCGCTCAGCTGGCTGTCTGGGTGGCTCCCTGGCCTAAGGAGGTGCTTGGTGTTCCAGGGCCTTGGCCTGAGCTTTATCTCCACTCTCTGCAGCAGGGTGGTTGGTTCCTTGAGGGGCTAATTCTGTTCTGTGGTCAAGGTTATGTGGATGGGCAGGGGATATGGGCCGGGCCCTCAGGGAGGGTGAACGACTCTGTTTCCTTAGCCAACCAAGTGGGGTAGTGGGAGCAGTGTGTGGCCAGTTAGCATCAGGAGATGGGCCTTGAGGCCTGGCTCTGCTTTTGGGAGCTGGCTGGGTGAGCCTCAGTTTCCCCTGGAAAGTGAGGGGATTGGTTCTGCCCCAGATGAAATGGGTGCTAGCAAGGTGCAGAGCTGCTTCATCCTGCATGGGCTGGAGCAGGGGCCAGATGGCCATTTGGAAGGAAGGCAGAGAAGCAGGATGGCCAGAGCAGCGGTTCAGGAGACAGCGCATGATGCACACGGCAGAACTCCCCGGGGCTTCGACATATGAATCGGAAAAGACCTGCTTACTTTAGTGCTAAAGCAGATCCCACCTGAATGTAGATTCCAGTGGAGAAGTGGGAGGTGCTGAGATCTTAGAAAGAAAAATCTACAAATCTAGAAATAGGATAAAGATGTTGTATGAACCTTTAGTGCTGTCAACTCCTTTGCTTTACTGATGTGGGAACTGAGACTCAGAGAAGTTAGCTTATTTCCTCAAGGTCACACAGGTGGAAAAAGTGGGAACCCAGGCTCCTGAGTTCCAGACTAGGAGTCTTGCAGCCTGGGGATGGACGAGCTGGGTTTCCACCTGCGTGGTGGCTTCTCCAGGTGGTGGCTTAGGTCCCCATGGATGGTCCTGAGGTGGGCTCGGGAAGGGCTGAGCCAGGAGGGTGTGGGACCCACGTTTGTGAAGTGCCTACTTAGCAGCAGGTACAGTACTACAGAGATGAGTAAGACACAGTGACTGTTCCTAGGGAAGCTGCAGGGCAGGAACAGAGAGAGGCATGGGGAAGAGAGAGTAACACAGGGCTGTGCCTGGGGCTGTGGGAACACAGGAGAGGGAGGGCTTCTCTTTCTCTTTTAAAAATATTGACACATAATAGTTGTACATATTTTCTGGGTGTACATGTGATATTTGGATACAGGCATTCAATGAGTAATGATCAAATTAGGGTAATTGGGATTTCCAGCACCTCAACCACTGGCCATTTCTTGATGTTGGGAACATTCCAATTCTAGCTATTTTGAATTATACAATACATTATTATGAGCTATAGTCACCCTACTATACTATCAAACAATAGCTCTCATTCCTTCTATCTAACTGTATTTTTGTACCCATTAACCAACCTCTCTTCATTCCACCCCCTTCTCTTCCCAGTCTCTGGTAACCACCATTCTGTTCTCTGCCTCTGTGAGACTGACTTTTTAAGCTCCCATATATGAATGAAAACAAGTAGAATTTGTCTCTCTGTGCCTGGCTTACTTCACTTAAGATAATGACTGCCAGGCTGGGAGTGGTGGCTCACATCTGTAATCCTAGCACTTTGGGAGGCAGAGGCGGGCAGATTGCATGAGCTCAGGATTTCGAGACCAGCCTGGGCAACATGGTGAAACCCTGTCTCTATGAAAATACAAAAAAATTAGCTGGGCATGGTGGCAGGTGCCTGTAATCCCAGCTACTAGGGGGAGCTGAGGCAGGAGAATCACTTGAACCCAGGAGGCGGAGGTTGCAGTGAGCCGAGATCGCACCACTGAGACTCCATCTCAAAAAAAAAAAAAAAAAAAAAAAAAGATAATGACCTCCAGTTCCATCCATGTTGCTGCAAGTGGCAGGATTTGATTCTTTTTTTATTCTTTTTTATGGCCTAATAGTATCCCATTGTGTATATGTGCCACATTTTCTTTATCCATTCATCCATTGATGGACACTTAGGCTGATTCCATGTCTTGGCTATTGTGAATAATGTAATAAACATGAGAGTGCAGATAGCTCTTCAATGTACTGATTTACTTTCTGTTGGATATTCATCCAGCAGTGACCTCAAAAGCACAGGCAACAAAAGCAAAAATAGACAAATGGGATTCCATCAAGTTAAAAAGCTTCTGTAGACACAAGGAAACAGTCAATAGAGTGAAGAATAGGAGAAAATATTTGCAAACTATCCATCCGACAAAGGATTAATAACCAGAATATATAAGGAACTCAAACAACTCAGTAACAAAAACAGAGAATCTGCTTTAAAAACTGGCAAAAGATGGAAGGCTTCTTAAAGGAGCGCATGCCTTAGCTGAACTTCCCCTCCTCTTTCCTGACTCCTGCTCCCTGTATGCTCTCAGCTCAGTGGTCCCTCCCTCTGGGAAGCTTTTTCTGTCCCCATCTCTGGCCGGGCTCCCAGGCCCCGCACTGTCATTGCTTCTTAATCATTGTGTTCTCCGCCAGACTTCAAGTCTCACTGAGGACTGAGTCAGCCTTGCCCACTACTGTCTCACTGCACAGAGAGTGTTCACAAATCTCTGTGTCGCGGATAGAGGGTGTCTTTTGCTGAGCCGAGGGACGTTAGGAGAGAAGAGGGAAGATCAGTGTAGGACATGCTGATGAGGTGCCTGGGGACTTCCAAAAAGGAATTGGCAAGGTAATTGGATGCTCTGTAACGGGTGGGATTGGTCAGGGCGGAAGCCGTAGGGTAGGGGATTATCTGCAGGGTGTGGCAGTGAGGAAGTGTCCTGGGGAGAGCAGCTGGTGGACAGAGGTTGGGGATGGGCACTCCATCGGTCAATGATGTTGGGTGATGGAAGAGGGGTGCCCATGAAGGAGATGAAAAGGCATGGAGGGGGGTTTGGAACAAAGCCAGGATGCGAGGAGGGAGGAGGCAGCCAGGCTGAGAGGCTGGGGCAAGCGGGGTTGGAGGGATTTGGTGGAGATCACAGGCACCCTGCCTGGCCCTGCCAGGCTCTGGTGTTGGGGGTGGGGCCACCACATGCCTTGGTTTTTTGGGCAGGGACCCTGCGGGGTGGAGTGCTCAGGGTTACGGCCGGGTGTTCTTGGTTTGCTCCCAGTCTTGGCCTTGGAGGACTCTCAGGTGCTGCTCTCCTGTGCTTCTGTCTCCAGCCAAGGTCCTGGTCCCCGTGGCCGTGTACTGCGGGAGCATCCCTCGGACCAGTGCTGGGCCCCGGGTGCTCCCGCCTGGAAGCATCAACTCCAGTCTGCCTCATGGAGAAGGTGAGATGGGAAGACCTCACCTGGTCAGGGCCCCTGGCCTCATCCTGGAGCGGGGAGTGAGTGTGGTAGATGCCGGCTGTGTTCTCGAGCTACCAGCAGGTGTTATTTTTCCTGTGGCTCCTGCTGAAAATACCCTTTGATTCTTTCAAAGGCAGGTTCTTTTGATCCTGTGCCTCAGAGGTTGGAGGTGTGCAGAGGGGGACCCGCAGGAATAGGGAGCAGGGCTCTCTGCATGCGCCTGGACCTGGGAGTGCACTCAGCACCCAGGTTGGCAATGGGGAGGGGGCCCCTCTCAAGATGTCCACTCAGCGTCTCTGCCACTTGTCCAGCATCTGCAGCCTGGGTCTCTGGAGGGGCTGGGTTGTGGCCAAGCTTCTGAGAGCCCACCTGTCTGAATGCTCCCCCAGGGCCCAGGTGAAGAGCACCACTTCCTGAAGGTCTTCTAGAACCTCTTACCTCCTCTAAATGTGCAGAGTATTTTGTTTCTCTCCCATCTGGTGTGTCTGCTGGGGGTGGGGGTGATTTGCTCTGAGATGCCTGAGTTCCTCCTTGTAGTCTGTGCTTGGCATAGGTCAGTGCTCGGGGATCTGATGACTTTGTTGGACCCTGGAGATTGGTGGATGGTGGTCCCTGGGCAGACGACCTTCCCTATGATTCACGGCCTCTTGTCTGTGCTGCCATAGGACTGCCTGTGGATTCCCCCTTTTGTCCTGAGCACCTTGTGGCATGGGTCTTGTGAAGATTAGGTGCTTCAGAGACACTGTCGAATGAATGACTCGTCCCCAGGAGTGACTGAAACATTAAATGACTGGGTTTCACCAGGCAAGTGGCTGCCTGTTAGAAGGAAGCAATGTCAAGGAGCTTGCTGGTGCCTGGTGCCACCCTGGGTACTGCGTGCCAAGCCATTCACACCTCTGTCCCCCTCAGGTTCTCTCCAGCCTGAGCCAAGAGCCCTGCTGAACAACGAGGAACCGTCACAGCTCCTGCGTGGACTCGGACAGCTGGGTGGCCTCAAGCTGGACACCCCTTCCAAGGGCTGGCAGGCAAGGAATGGTCACCCCAGGAACCTCAGGGCCTTGTCTTTGGGGGACCAGCCCCTGGTGCTCCTCCCTTCTCCGGAGTCAGAGGCCAACAGCGTGGCCAGGGACACCATCCAGATTAAGGACAAGCTCAAGAAAAGGAGGCTCTCAGAGGGCTTGGCAGCGTCTTCCCGAGGTGAGCACTGGCCCCTGCCCACCCCTCACCCACCCACTTCCAGGTCAAGGGCCGCAGGCCTCCAGGGCTGTGAGGGTCAGCAGGCTTCCAGGTGGCATGCTGGGATGCCCTGGGGGTGATCGGTGGGTACATACCAGGTACCTTCTCTATGGCTTCAGCGACCTCCTTGGAGCTGAGCCTCCCTCCCGGGCTCTGCAGTGCTTCCCGACTGGCCTCTTCATTCCCACCCTTGCGCCTTCTAGTCTTGCTCCAGAAGGATCCTTTTAAGCAAATGTTCTTCCCATTTCCACCAACTATGCTCAAAATCAGCCAGTAGGTTTTGGATGTGCTTAGACTAAGATCCCAAATGTTCCCTTATGCACAAGACCTTCTGGCCCTGGCCTCACCCCAACTGTGTCACTCTCTGCCTTCGGTCTCTGCTGTCCAGGGCCTGGGGCTTGTGGGCTCTTTCCTGCCTGAGGTTTAGAGCCACTGCTCCTCCCCCACCCCTCCTCCGTTTCCCACTCAGAAAATCCCCACCCAGCCTCCCTTCTTGGCTTCAAAGCCCTCCTCAAAGAGGCCTCCTTGACTCCCCAATGTGAGTTTGCCCCTTAGGATGCTCTCCAATAATGCCCTATCATTTTTTTCCTTCAGTTCTTTTCATGGTTTGCATTTATATTTTTACTTTTGTGACTATTTAAAACCTGAATCTTGCATGTAATTGTCAGCTCCAAGAGGGCAGTGACTGAGATCTCGGTGTGAGGCACAGTCGCTTGGCAGCTAGGAGGCTCTCAAGAAACGTTTGTTGAGCAGATGAACAAGGGATTCAACAGCAGGCACTTTATACTGTCTCTCATCTGTGTGGTGGACAAGCCAAGTTCAAATCTTAGCCCCGATACTCACTGGCTCTGGGGCCTTGGGCAGGTCGGTAACATTTCAGGCCTCGATTTCCTCCTCTGTGGAATGGGGACACTATTAATAATACTTCTGTGTTACTGTGGGGGTTTAATGAAAACTTGTACACAGAATTCTCAACACCTGGCATATGGGAAGAACTTAATACATTGTTACTATTTTCCTTCCTTCTCTCCTCTTCTGGGTGAATCATACGGGCTCTTTTCAGCGGAATGAACTCTTGGGTAACAAGAGCAATAAGAAGTCTTGAGGTCTTAGGAAGAAAGGGGAAGTGCTCTCAAGAGGCACGTGGTTGCTGCCGTCAAGCCTGGGGTTGTGGTTGGCTGTTCTTCCCCTCCCCTGTGCAGACTGCTCCACCTGCTGAGCCTCTCCCTGGAGCCGTGGGGTGTCTCCAGCTCCCGGGGAGCCCAGGACAATGCCAGGGAGCCTCTGGGAGGAATTGTCCTGGCTGCACATTATGGAGGCAGAAGGTGGGGTTGGAATGCCCGAGAAGCTTCCTTAGAACTTCCAGTAGGTACAACTCCTAGAGCTGCCAGACCAACAACTCTCTCCCTTAGGGGCTTGAAGCCCTTTTCTAGATATTTCATTTCTTTTTTACAAAGTTCCAGCATAGGGAAAAAAAGAATGGAGTTGTTCTACCTAATGTTCTGATGGGCAGTGACCTATAGACTTATCAGGCCCCTCAGCAAGCATGGAGGGCCGGGGATCTCTGGCCCCCGGGCAGTGCTGGGGCTGCTCTGGCCCCTGCATTGAGGCTGAGTTGACTCCTCTGTGCCCTGACCCAGCTGGGGCTCAAGGTGGCCCGGCAAGTGGCACAGTCTCCACTTGACCACACCCCTTCTTTTCCATCCTTTCAGCTCCCCACAGGCTAACCACAACACAACAGTGCTCCAAGACAGAACAGAACCAGCACCGGAAGCCAGGAGGGGAGCGAGTGTGCAGGAACAGAGATGATATTTTGACTTGGCTGGTTTATTTTTTTTTAATTTTTTTTTTCTGGAACAGAGTCTCGCTCTGTCACCCAGGCTGGAGTGCAGTGGTGCGATTTTGGCTCACTGCAACCTCTGGGTTCAAGTGATTCTCCTGCCTCAGTCTCCTGAGTTGCTGGGATTACAGACAACCACCACTAGGCCCAGCTAATCTTTTTTTTTTTTTTGAGACCGAGTCTTGCTCTGTTGCCCAGTCTAGAGTGCAGTGGTGCGATCTCGGCTCACCGCAACCTCCACCTCCCAGGTTCAAGCGATTCTCCTGCCTCAGCCTCCCCGGTAGCTGGGACTACAGGCATGTGCCACCACGCCCGGCTAATTTTTAGTAGAGATGGGGTTTCACCATGTTGGCCAGGCTGGTCTTGAACTTCTGACCTCCAGTGATCCTCCCGTTCTCGGCCTCCCAAAGTGTGTGGGATTACAGGCGTGAGCCACTGCGCCTGGCCTGACTTGGCTGTTTTGATGCAGTGGTTTTGTTGAGGCCAGAATGAAAGTTAAAATGCTAGTCTTTTTTTTTTTTTTATTCCTCATCACTGATATTTACAAAGATAACCCTGAGCTCTTGGCCCAACCCAGTGCTTCTTGCCCTGTGCCTTTGCCTGAGGCATGGCTGTGGGGTGAGATGGGGTGGGGCACAGGGCGCTGAAGATGTCTGTTGGGCACCTAAAGCATTCAGAGGGGAGCTGGAAGTGTGGCGGTCTGTCTTAGACTATGTTAGCTGTGTCAAAACAGCTACGCCCCACATCACCAGCCGAAAAGGAAGGGGAAACAGTGGCAGGTACTTGCCTGGCATCTTATATAAGTGATGTTATTGAATCACCCCATTTCACAGAAGTGTAATGGGGTTCAGAGAGACAGTGCCTTGCTCGAGGTCACATAGCTTCTACCCACGGCCAGGACCTGCCATGCTTCCTCCTGATCTGGCACTGCTTTTATTTCCCTTCCTTCCCACGCTGCCTCTGAATTCTAAACAGGTAACTTGGATTGGCCCTTTCTGGAATGGCACAGACACTCAGAAGTGGCTGCTTGCTCAGTCTACCAGTGGTGGGGTTGGGGACAGATCTGATCTCTCTCCTCGCCATCCCAGTCCTTCCCAGGGCAGAAGGCCCCGTTGCTGGGGTCTGAATCCACCTTCCACTCCCTGTTCTTCTGGGACTAACTGATTTCCCATCCCCATCCCTGTACAGCCTCTCTGGATCCAGGGGGAGGCCCCCAAGGAGTTCCCCTGCACAGCACCATCCCCCGAGCCACCTCTCAGAGGCTGCTGAGGGTGCCCAGGCCGATGCCTCTCATCCAGAGCATCCCTACCACCCCTGAGGCCAGCGGAGTCAAAGAGAAGGGCCTGGACCTACCGGGGAGCATTCCGGGTCCTCACGAGTTGAGACCCGGTGCTCAGGAGGTAAGGTGGTTCGACTGCTGTGAGTCTGGTCCTCAGCTTCTTGCCCTCCCTTCCTCCTGCCTTTCTTTCTAGCCTCCACCAACCCCTGACTCCATGCCCTGAGCATCCCTGGAGGTGTCTTGAGGTCTGCAGTGAGGATAGGGACAGCACTGGGAGAGGCTCAAGGTGCTCATTTCACCACCTCCCCCAGCATCTCAAACCTCCATAGCTGGCCTGGGGGCTCTGGGTGGCTGTGCCAGAGGCTGCATGACCTTTGTCCTAGAACTGGTGGTCCCCTAGGCCTTCTCTGGTCTAAATGTTCCAGAATTCCTCCTGCTTTCTGGCCCTCTCCATTTTAAGCAAGAGTGTGGCAAAGAATGCTGGGCTAGGACTCAGATTTGGGCCTTGGTTTCTGTTTGCCCCTCACTGGCTGTGTGACCTTGTGCAAGTCACACCCCTCTTTGGGCCCCAGTTTGCACATCTATGAAAATAGAGGTTTGGCCCAGATGTGTTTGAAGGTCCTTCCAGCTCTGATGTTCTAGGATTTTTCTGAAATGAGAACAGAAAAACGAATAATAATAGTCACAAAAGGGCTTGCCAGTCTCCTCACCAGGAGTGGTAAGGAAGCAGTCAGGCTTCTGGGGGTCCCAGGGTGGTGTGGCTGAAAAGAGACAGCAGGTCCCACACTGTGTGAGGTGCCTGGAGGTGAGCATTCACCATGGGATGTTGCCATAGGCCAGACCCCTGTCCCGCCTCTGCTCCCAGGCGCAGATCTCCTGGCAATACCTGCACTGCAATGATGAGAAGATGCAGAAGTCCCTGGGCGCCATCGTGATCCCACCCATCCCAAAGGCCAGGACGGTTGCAGCGACCCCCTCCCGTGTGCCTGGCTCCCTTCCCAGCCCGTTACCTCCAGGCCAGGGAGTCCTCACAGGCCTGAGGGCCCCACGCACGCGGTAAGAGCTCCAAGTCAAACCTTCCTTGCTGACTTCTCTCCCTCTGTCCCCCTGAGATCCACTGGGGCTCCTTGTGGCTGACCCTCCATGCTGTGGCAGAGTTCTTGGGACACCAGGCAGGGAAAGGGCTGGGGGCTCCACCCATGAGCCACAGACCTAGGGAGGTCCCAGCATGGTTGCCGGGGCTTCTCTGCCTCTTGGCTCCGGCAGGCTGGGTCAATGGCATCACGAACAATGTCTCCAGCCTCTGTCTTCTCCCAGTGCCTTAGTGGATGAGGTTGCCGGAGTAATGAATAAAACACTAATTATTTTATCTCATATATATAATTTTGAGATGGAGTCTCACTCTGTCGCCCAGGCTGGAGTGCAGTGGTGTGATCTCAACTCACTGCAACCTCCGCCTCCCGGGTTCAAGCGATTCTCCTGAGTAGCTGGGATTACAGGCACCCACCACCATGCCCTGCTAATTTTTGTATTTTTAGTAGAGACGGGTTTCAGCATGTTGGCCAGGCTGGTCTTGAAACTCCTGACCTCAGGTGATCTGCCCTCCTTGGCCTCCCAAAGTGCTGGGATTATAGGTGTGAGACACCGTGCCCGGCTATGAATAAAACACTATTTTAAAGCATGATTGAGTTCATGGCAGCTCTTTGTAATTAAATATTTTCTTAATTGATGGATACTAAAAATACAACCAGTATCATGTGTATGGGGGACAGTCCACAAACTTTTGGACTTGAAAAGGGGTCTTCATATCCCACAAACAAGTGGGGAAGAGGATCTTTGTGTTGGCATAAATCGGGTTATGGCTTGTAAGTAAGACAGTGCTCTAGATGGCCAGCAACATCCCCGTGGTCAGTCCAGAGTGATGTCAGAGCACGTGTGTGTGAGAGTGAGTGTGTCTGAGTGTCTTTGTGTGTGCACACATGTATGAGTGCCTGCAGGTATGTGTGAGTGTATGTGTATGAGTGTGTATGTGTGCATGTATATGTGAGTATATGCATGTATGTGAGTACAAGAGTGTGTGTGTCTGAGTATGTGTATATGTGTGAGTGCATGCATGTGTGTGTGTGTCTGAGTGTGTGTGTGCATGAGTGCAAGAGTATGTGTCTGAGTGTGTCTGAGTGCATGTGTGGAGTATGTGTGTGCATGTATGTGTATGAGTGCATCTGTGTGGAGTTGTGTGTGCATGTGTGTGGAGTGTATGTGTACATGTGTGAGTGCATGTGTGTGCATGTGTACGTGTGTGAGTGCATGTGTGTGCATGTGTGTGCATGTGTATGTGTGTGAGTGCATGTGTGTATGTGTGTGAGTGCATGTGTGTGCATGTGTATGTGTGAGTGCATGTATGTGAGTGCATGTGTGTGCATGTGTATGTGTGTGAGTGCATGTGTGTGCATGTGTATGTGTGAGTGCATGTTGTGAGTGCATGTGTATGGGTGTGTGTGCATGTGTATGTGTGTGAGTGCATGTTGTGTGTGAGTGCATGTGTAAGGGCATATGTGTGCAGTGTGTGTGTGCATGTGTGTGGGTATGTGTGCATGTGTGTATATGTGTGTGGGACCATGTGTGTGAGTGCATGTGTGTGGAGTGTGTGTGCATATGTGTGTGTGTGCATGTGTGTGTGTGGGGTATGTGTGCATGTGTGTGTGAGACCGTGTGTGTGCATGTGTGGAGCGTATGTGTGAGAACGTGCATGTATGTGGGTGCATGTATGTGGAGTGTGTGTGTGCGTGTGTGAGAGCATGCATGTGCGTGAGTGCATGTATGTGAGAGCATGTGTGACTGCATGTGTGTGCATGTGTGCATGTGTGTGAGTGCATGTGTTTGTGTAACTACGTGTGTGAAGCCATGTGTGGTGTGTGTTCATGTGTGTGGAGTGTGTGTGCATGTGTGTATGTGTGTGAGGGCATGCATGTGTGAGCATGCATGTGAGTGCATGTGTGGAGTGTGTGTGCATGTGTGTATGTGTGTGAGGGCATGCATGTGTGAGCATGCATGTGAGTGCATGTGTGGAGTGCGTGCATGTGTGAGTGCATGTGTGCATGTGTGTGAGCACATATATGTGTGTATGTGTGTGTGTGAGTACATGTGTGGAGTATCTGTGTGTGCATGTGTATGAGTGCATGTGTGTGAGTGCATGTGTGTGCATGTGTATGTGTCAGTGCATGTGTGTGCATATGTGTCAGTGCATGTTGTGAGTGCATGTGTATGTGTGTGAGTGCGTGTGTGTAAGTGCATGTGTGTGGAGTGTGTGTGTGGGGTATGTGTGCATATGTGTATTTGTGTGTGAGACCGTATGAGTGCATGTGTAGGGTGTGTATGTGTGCGTGTGTGTGTGAGACCATATGTATGTGAGTGCATGTGTGGAGTGTGTGTGTATGTGTATGTGTGAGAGCACGTGTGTGTGTGTGGGGTGCATGTGTGTGGAGTGCATATGTGTGTGCATGTGTGTGAGAGCATGCATGTGCGTAAGTACATGTGTGAGCATGTGTGACCACATGTGTGTGCATGTGTGTGAGTGCATGTGTTTGTGTGTGTGACTGTGTGTGAAGCCATTTGTGGAGTGTGTGTGCATGTGTGTGGAGTGTATATGTGTGCATGTATGTGTGCATGTGTGTGTGTGAGTGCCTGTGTGTGGAGTGTGTGCATGTGTGTGTATGTGTGTATGTGTGAGTGCATGTGTGTGCATGTGTATGTGTGTGAGTGCGTGTGTGTGAGTGCATGTGTGTTCATGTGTATCTGTGTGTGTGCATGTGTGTGCATGTGTATCTGTGTGTGAGTGCATGTGTATGTGTGAGTGCATGTGTGTGGAGTGTGTGTGCGTGTGCTCAGGGCCTATGGGCCTGGCTCCTTCAGTAGAGTCACAATCCAGTTCCTGCTGTGACTGCTTCCCTCCCGTTTCTTGGGGCCTGATGACTTGGATTCTTCCATTTTTCTCACACTTCCTCATTCCCTCCATCTCCCTGGTGCCTTCCCTCTGTGCACACACATATTCATGTCTTTCTCCGACCCTGTGGGTTATAGAGACCCGTCCATGTACCTGCTCCTGGATTCGAGTTCTCTATTCAGTTTTCACCGTCAGCCTCCTCAGACAGCAGCTTGCTCCACTGACCTCCGCCTCCTCACCATTGCACACGTCCTCCCCTTTCCCACTCAGACGCTGGCCTCTTCCTCCCCTCGGAGCAGCCTTATCTGTGCCTCTCATGACTCACTGGCCCCAGACCTGTGGCCTTTCCTCTTATCTCTTTACTCTTGACTTTTTTGCATCATTTGAACCATGGATGGCCCTTGAATTTTTCTTCTTTTTCTGCATCCTGACTTTATACCTGCTTCTCGACCTTCCAGGCAGCTTCCTGTGTGCCCTCTTCCATTTCTAAGTTCTGCCATTCCCAAAATTGTTCCAGGACTGTTTGCCCCCATCTCCTGTTTTCTCCTGGGGCCCTTATGTGTGCCCAAGTCTTCCAGATGGTGGAATGTGGGTGAGTTCACATCTCCTGCTCTAGCCCTGGAACCATCCACAGGTCAGGCTCCGGGTTTCCATCTTTCTGTTGGGCATCTCCAGTTTCTCCTGGCTGATGTGATCCAGCACCAGAGGGAGAGACAGGGAGGTTGTGCCACCATCATGGCAACAAGGACCACCTCGTGTTTCCCCAAACCACCCCCTCCCAAGACCTCCTCATTGCTGTCAAGGTGCAGACCTTCTTCTTGGCCTTCAAGTCTCAGTGTCATCTTTGACCCTTGCTCCTAGTGCCTCCTGCTCCAACACATTTCCATAGCCCCCAAGTCTTTCTTAACAGCCATGAAAGCTCCACCCCTTTCTTGCCCCTGCCTTTCCCTCTTGGTTTGTACTTCCGCTTCCTTCTTGACCTCCCCTAATAGTGCCTAGCCAGTATCCTTGCAGCCCTGTGCGCTCCATCCCCATCTTTCATTTTCCTGCTTCCCCCGCCACCTTGCACACCTCTTGCAGGCCCTTTGCCTGTATTGACATTCCTGATTGAATGAATGGCGGGTCCTTTGTGTCAAGGACCCAGGCGCATAATGCTGAGTCTCCTTGGCCTGACAATCAGGGTCCATCCAGCCCACGACCCCACAGTTCCTCCCCGCTGTCCCCCAGTGCTTGTTCTGTGGGGCCTTCTTACCCCTCCAGACCCTGAGGACCTATTACCATTTCACTCATCCATCCATCCATTTACGAGGGGACATGGTGCTTCCCCTCGTCCATCTCTGCAACCCCAACAGCCTCTCACCCCTTTCCCCACCCATTCATTTCATCTCCACTGTTCCATGTCTACCTACTCTCCCTTTAAAGGGCGGCAAGGAGGGGAAGTGGTCTTCTCTGCATTGTCCACAGGCATCCAGCCCAGGGACTGCCTCAGCCCCTCCCTTCCATTAAACAAAATAAGCAAATCTTGATTATTTAAATTTATTTTGTTTATTTATTTTGTTTTATTTATTTGTTTTTTATTTTTTATTGTTATTATTTTTTGAGATGGAGTCTCACTCTGTCACCCAGGCTGGAGTGCAGTGGCACGATCTTGGCTCACTGCAACCTCTGCCTCCTGGGTTCAAGCAATTCTTCTGTCGCAGCCTCCCGAGTAGCTGAGACTACAGGAGCATGCCACCATGCCTGGCTACATTTTGTAATTTTAGTAGAGCTGCAGTTTCATCACATTGGTTAGGCTGGTCTTGAACTCCTGACCTTAGGTGATCTGCCCACTTTGGCTTCCCAAAGTGCTGGGATTACAGGCGTGAGCCACTGCACCCAGCCAATTAAAAATATATATATTTTTTTGAGATGGAGTCTTGCTCTGTTACCCAGGCTGGAGTGCAGTGGCACGATCTCTGCTTATTGTAACCTCTGCCTCCCTGGTTCTAGTAATTCTTCTGCCTCAGCCTCCCAAGTAGCTAGGATTACAGACATGCACCACCAGGCCCGGCTAATTTTTGTATTTTTAGTAGAGCTGGGCTTTCACCATGTTGCCCAGGCTTGTCCTGAACTCCTGATCTCAGGTGATCTGCCCACCTCGGCCTCCCAAAGTGCTGGGATTACAGGTAGAAGCCACCGCACCTGGCCAGCCTATTTTATTTAAACCTCATTCTGTTCTTTAACTTGGAGCACCACAGGGCAGGGGCCATATGTCAAAAACCTCTGTGGCTTCTGTGGGGCCAGGATTGGTACCTGGCATGGATTAGTTCCGTAATAAATATCTGTCCTTTCCTGTTTGGTTTGTGACATGGATTTCCCTTTGTTGACAATGTGGGGCTCTCTAGCCAATGGAGGGGATGGAGGCTCTATTACCATTTCAGTCATCCATCTGTCCGTTTACTCACCTAAAAGCTGTTAAGCACCTACTATGTGCCAGGTGCATAGGTCACAATCTGTGTGCTCCAGCCAGGAAGTCATCAAGGTGAAGTTCAGAGAGGTGGGTGCGTAGGCGAAGGCTGCCTGTCATGTTGGTGACCCAGGAGAAAGAGATCTGAATCATGCCAGGCAGACTTCTCAGGGCAGGATGAGGGCACACTTGCGAGATGGAGATGGAGGTGGAAGAGGGAGAGACGGAAGGAGGAGTGAGCCCCTGCATCCTTGCGTGACAGCCTGCGGGGTGGGGGTGAAGGGCCTGTGTGCCAACTGAGAAGTGGGAGCTTCATCCTCCTGTAAGGAGGTGCCACCAAAGGCTTTCGGGTGTGAAAGTGGCATCTGCTGTGACTTAGAAAGGCCATGTTGGCAACCTCAGAGTGGCATGGACCGTGTAGATGGAGGTGGGGCTGCTGCAGGAATCCGGGGAGAAGGCAAAGGGTGGCTGAGCAGGGCAGAGGCAGGGAGTCTGTGGGCTGAGGATGCAGAGGTGGGGGCGGGGCGGGATGAATGGCAGGGCTAAGCCACGGGGTAGATGTGGGCTGAAGATGGGGGAGCTGAGACCATGCCGGGGTTCCTGGCTTCAGCCACTGGACAGATACTGGCACCCTTCTTGGAGACAGGGCATAGGAGAAGAGGCAGGTGCTGGGGACAGTGCTGAGGCCACTCTTGGACATGCTTAGACGTTTGGGTTGGAGCCGGGAGGGGCTCTTGCTGGAAACAGGGCTTTGCTGCTCCTGCTCCACCCACCTCCTTGGGGCCTGCGGAGGAGCCTGAGCGGTGGTGGGTTTTCTGTGAGGTTCGCACAGGGTGGGGCGGGGCTGCCACGTGCAGGAAGGCAGGGGCCCTGATCGGCATGGCCTGTCTTGGCCTCAGTCCTTTCTGCTGTGGGGTCGCTAGAGAAGGGGAGGGCAAGAGGCTTCCCCAGGGTCCACAGCTTAAGAGAAGCTGCGCCAAGTCCTCTGAGGCCAAATCCCTTGCTCAGAGCAGGTGTGTGTGTGTGTGTGTGTGTGTGTGTTGGGGGGGCGCAGAGCGGGGGAGGCTGCAGCTCAGGGCCCCAGGGGCAAAGCCGAGGCATAAGCATTGGGGTTTTTGGCATCCTGTGCTCACCTCAGGCAGCCTGGGACCTCCATGAGCTCATAGAAGCCAAGGGCAACTGTGTGGACTTTGATGCTCCACTTCCCCTCCCCGCCCGCCTCCAATCCTCTTAGTGCCGTTGGGCAGTGGTTAAGCAGTGGTGGGTTACAATGGCAAAGGCCTAGTGGGCGAGCTCCCCAGGTCAGGGGTGCCCTGGAGCATTCGCTTACTATCTCCAGCCCACACGATCCCTCCCTGTGGGTCCAGACCCAAGAGGCTGGGCCTGGCCCTGGGAGCAATGGCGAATCCCGGCTGATCTACGCCCAGGTTGAAGCTCCGCTCCTCCTGTGGACTCCCCTGACCTCCACAGTCCCCAAGGATCAGGGTTCCCCTGCATCCAGGCAGGCACTGAGGGGGGCTGTCCTACCGCCCCTCCTGCAGCCCGGCCTGGACTGTGATCCTCTGAGGCCAGTGTGTGGGATATTGTGTTCCTGACCTGTTGCTGTGGCTTGTTACTCTGTCAGCCCCCCAGTGGGTCCTGATGTCCACCGAGAAGGGAAAGCCATGTAGGACGCTGCAGGGCTGGTCTCCATGGGAACCTGAGCTCCCGGAGGGCGGGGAGTGTCATGTCTTATTGATGCTCCATTCCCAGTGTCTAGAATAGTGCTTGACACATAGTAGGTCTTCAGTAAATATCTGTTGAATAAGTAAATGGTGCTTCCAACTTAAGAAATTACAATTAAAACCAGTGCCAGGGATGCCACTGTCTTCCCCCTCCTGTGGGTAATTGGGATTGAGCTTCTGGTACAAAACAGTGGTGACTTCCTGCCACAGCAAAGGGGATCAGCTCCGCCCCCCAGGCCCTGGGATGGGGATTACAATCACGAGTGGGACTATTTAGGGGTCACTGAGCTCTCACGGGGTTGGGGCAGCTTGGAGAACTTGAGCTCAGTGCTGTCTAAGCTGGGAGGCAGTTTACCCTTGTTTACTGCAGCTGCTGTCAACTCCACAGGCCCAAGCAGCACAGCGGGAGGGTGGGGGCTTCCTTTAAGTCAGCAGTTTCTGTGTGGGTGTCAGCCTCCTGGGGAATGCGCGAGCTGCACTGCCAGGAAATGGGGCTGAACCTGGCCTGGTGGTCAGCCTGCCCTTGTGTTTGCAGAGGGAGCTGTATCTCCTGCAGCTTGAATCCTGGGCCAAGAGCCTCTGCAGGGATAACAGTGCCGTCCCCTCTGTCCCCCATCTCGGCCATTGCCCCATCCTGGAGCCACCCTGGGCTCCCCCAGCAGTGTCTCTGGCTGGCCATCCCTCATGATGCTTTTCTCTCCCCCGTTCTTTTAAGATTGGCTCGGGGGAGTGGGCCTCGGGAGAAGACCCCTGCATCTCTGGGTACGTATCTTCCATGCACACCTCCCTTTGTTATTTGACTCTCTACATTCCTGGGCTGGGTCAGGGAAACAGAATTAGGGCCAGAGGAGATCTGAGAGCTCTTGTGTCTGGGCCCTTCATTTCACAGCAGGAAGCTGAAGTCACCGGAGGTCTAACCGGAGGGTGGCAGCGGGCCCGGGCGAGGTGTGGAAGAGAAGTGACATTTATTGACACCTGCTCTGGTACGTCAGGTGTGATGACGTACACCAGCTTGTGCAGCTTGCCACGGCCTCGATAAGAGAGACAATTCTGGCCGTGTGTGACAGACGAGCTGGCACACGAAGGCTCTGTGAGCAGGATGTCCTCCCTGGTCGCTGAGCCCCATCAGGCTTGCAGCCAAGTTTCCACGGCTCCAAAGCTGGGGTCTTGACACATCAAGCAGCTGCCCCTTGCGGTGTGTTAAGCAAGTAGAGAGAGTATTCCTCACCTAGAGAATGAGAGGGTAAACCAGAGCCCACAAACCTCAGCCAGCTGGCCCCAGGAGCTTTAGCTGTCAGGATATAGGGCCAGCACAGGATTGAGGCGAGGAGAGGGGACAGGGCAGGGTAGGAGGCCTTTAAAGAGGGAGGAGGGATCCTTCCTGGATTGAACTCTATGGGGAGGTGGGACGGGTGGATGGAAGCTGAGCCTCTGCTGCAGGGTTGGGGAGCAGAACACCCCGAACCCAGGCCAGGGTGGGGAGGAGTTGGAGGCAGCCGCTCTACTGCCCGGCAGGAGGGGTGGCCTCCCCAGGACCAGCTTCCTGGCAGGTCACTCTGCTAATCAGCTCAGCTGGTGGGGCAGTTGGCGAAGGGGGGTGGCTGTTGCCCAAGAGGCCCTGGGATCAAGACACAAAGCTGGACCTGGCACAAGAAACCTCTGCGGCAGCTGCTTCTCCCCTGCTCCCGGGCCAGGCTGCAGCAGGGTGAGCTCAGGCAGTCTGTGGCGAAATGCACCGGCACCCTGAGTGACCTTAAGAGCTAACCCGGAGGACGCTGGTGTGGGGGTTGGGCCAGGAGACCCCAGTCAGTAACCACTTCCTCCCCTGGCTCTCCAGCTTGCTGCTTGAGAACCAGGTCACCAGGGACCTGTGGCAGGGGCAGGCTGCTCAGACAGGGCTTTCCAGGGCATCCCTTTGGGGTGGAGGTGAAGAAGTGACATAAAAAATAGTTAAGTCCTTAAAGGGCTCTCTGCCCTCCAGCTGGCAACTGGGCTGACACTGCCCTCTGTGTGCAACATGCCTAGCACATGGTAGGGGCTCACAGGGTCTTGTCTGAAGCTGGGGGCTTCCTCACATCTGTGGCATTCCTGCAGTCCTTGCCCTGGCCAGGTGGTGCCTACCACATGTGCCCTCTGCTCTGCCTCTTACCTCTGGGCAGATGAGGCTTCAAAGCCCCTCTTCCCCCTTGGCCCTTGATCCTTCTCCCTGCACCAAGCAGAGGAATCCTTTGCAGAAGACATGGCCTGGGCAGAGGACCTGGGTGACCTGGGAGCTCTGCACGGGCCCCAGAGGTAAGATGCCTTTTCCAGCCTCAGGCAGCCTCAGCTGGTGGCCCCATCTCAGCAGACCCCTGACTTGCAGGTTCACCCAAGGACAGTGAGCTCCAAACCCTGTGGGTGGCAGAAAATGAATGAACCTGTTTGAGCCCTGCCTTCATAATGAGAAATGTACCTTTAAAATCCGCTGATGGGGAAGATATGAATGACAAAGCAATACTGTGGATTTGATGCCATCAAGTGGAAGTGAACGGGTATTTTATCCATCCCAAGAGCATTCGAAGGTTACTGGCTGTATTAGTCAGGGTTCTCCAGAGGGACAGAACTAGTAGGATATATGTCTGTATATAAAGGAGTTTATTAGGGAGAATTGGCTCACACGATTACAAGGTGAAGTCCCACAGGCGGCCATCTGCAAGCTGGGGAAGAGAGAGGCTGGTAGTGGCTCAGTCCAAGTTCGAAAGCCTCAAACCAGGGACGCCAACAGTGCAGCCTTCAGTCTGTGACCAAAAGTCCGAGAGCCCCTGGCAAGCCACTGGTGCAAGTCTCAGAGTCCAAAGGCCAAAGAACCTGGAGTCTGATGTTTAAGGGCAGGAGGAGTAGAAGGAAGCGTCCAGCAGGGGAGAAAGCAGGCAGCCAGAAGACCCGGCAAGCAAGGTGATCCCACCTTCTTCCACCTGCTTAGTTCTAGCTGCGATGGCAGCTAGCAGCTGATTGGATGGTGCCCACCCACACTGAGGATGGGTCCTCCTCTCCCAGTCCACTGACTCAAAGGTCGATCTCCTCTGGCAGCTCCTTCACAGACACACCCAGAAACAATACTTGACCAGCTATGTAAGCATCCAATCCAGATGGCACCTAACATTAACCATCACACTGGCTCTCAGCTTTTCCGTCTGTGAAATGAGACTGGACTAGTGTTAGATCTCTGGTCCTGGCAACTCTGCCCTTTCCTGCTGCGTCATGCTTTCAGGCAAGCCCATGGTCATATGAAAGGATTGGTGGGCCCATTTTGCTTTTTCTTTTCCTGCCGTACGTACCTCCCAGGACAGATACACTTACTTATATTCTCAGGAAATGTCTTACATCTCCTGGATAACACATCTGGCCCTGTTTCCCGCCCAGCCTCCCCAATCCCACACCTATCTTGGAATAAAGTGTGCAGTGAATGAACGAATGGAGGGTGATGCTGGTCCACAGGTAGTCTGTCTCATGCCTGCCAGTGCTGCCCTGTACAGTAAACCTAACTCAGGTCTTGCTCCATTGAGGAAGAATTGAGGGTGTGGGGCTTAGCAGTAGAATTGAGCCAGCCACAGGGTCAGTGAGCTCAGCAGTGACCTGGGTGTCTTCAGCTCCACCCCTGTTCTCAACCCCTCAGAGCCAAAACCTTTGGCCTCACCCATCAGAGACAGGCCTGCCGCTGCCAAGAAGCCTGCCCTGCCTTTTTCTCAGTCTGCTCCCACGCTGACAGCCTTCTCCTTTGACTGTGCCAGAGAAGCCTGCCCTCCGCTGAAAGAAGAGGACCAGAAGGAGATCGGCACCAAGGTACCTGGGGAGCGGGAGGAGGAGGAAGTGGGGCTGGAGTGGACCGCAGGCTGCAGGAAGGCAAGCAAGTGTCTGAAGTATTCAAGAGTGGGACCAGCCACAGAGCAGAGCAAGGAGAGCCCGAGGCAGCCACCCAAGTACTAAAGGCCAGAACCTGCAGACGGGGTTGGGGTGAAGGCTGAAGAAAGGAAGAGAAAGGATGGGGGTCAGAAGCGGGGTGGGGAACTAGGTGCAGGGAAGACTGCAGAGGGTTGCTGAAGGGGTAGGAGGGAGGAAGGAAGGAGGACGGGGAGGTTGCACAGGGCTCACGAGGAAGCCGGACGTGGGGAGAGAGCAGGAAGCCTTAGGTGAACTGCGCTGCGTGGTTTGAACTAACACCCAAGATAGCAAATGAGAGGCAGCTGACTCAGGGCTGATCAGCCACGGGCTGTGCTCCAGGGACTGGCGAATACCTCACACTTCTCAGGTGACCTTGGAAGGTGGTCTCTTCCCTGGTTGGAACGAATTTAGTGAAGCTTGGGGAGTCACTGTAGTGAGGAGCCTGTGCTCATTCTTTGAGACAGAACATTCCAGGTCAAGAAGCATATCTTGAAGGCCTCCTGGGTGCATATTCTCTGTTAGAGACTGGGTGACTGTTAAATCAGCACCACAACCCTCCCACTGTAGAGAGGACCACAGAACAGGAAACACAAACAATGATTCAGTGCAGCGAAACGAGCTGATCCTCCACCCCACTTCTGCGCTCCCTCCTGTGGCCACATCGTAGGCCTTGGCATTCTAAAGTGTGTCCCCCCACCATGGTCTCAATTTCAAGCATCCCATTGGCTCACCACCTTCTCCTGCTGTTCTGCTCAATCCAGCTAATCCTTCAGTTCCAACACTTGTTCCCTCTCTGGCATCAACAATATTCTCCTTGAAACAGGATCATTGCTATCAGCATGTTAGCTCTCTGTTACCTCTTTCATTTTAAGAAAGCGGAACAAAACCAAGAGAAAATGATTGCCGTGTCTCTCTTCTCTCCTTTGTCCACTCCTGACAGGCATTAGTCCACACTCCCCACTGAAACTGCCCACATTGGAGTTGCCAATGACCTTCATCTTCCCAAATGCAGCCACGGTTAGTCCTTGTCTACCTTGACCCCATCGCAGCTTTTGATACGACTTGTGTCTCATCCTTGAATTCTCCAGCCAGGGATAGGGGTGAGGGGTGGCTCTTTTTTGGTCCTGCCTACGTGAAAGGCAGCTCCTTCCCAGCCCTTCTTGGCTGCCTCCTCCTCATCTCCCCGGCCTCTGGATGCTGGAACTCCCCCAGCGCTCAGCCCTCTGGCCTCTCGTCTATTTATACTGACCCGCTAGGTCCTCATCCAGTCCAGACATTAAGTACCATCTCTATGCTGAGGACTCCCACACCTCCCTCGCCAGCCTAGACCTTCCCTTGACCTCCAGACTAACATGTTTAGCTGCTGCTCAATATCTCTGCTTAAGTGCCTAATTATACTTCCAACTGACTGTGTCTAAAACTCAACCCTTGAATGCTCACCTCAGAAAACCTCCTCTCTCCCCAGGGGCCCACTCAACTCCAGCCTTCCAGTGGCTCAGGTCAACCACCTCGGGCGTCCTTGGCTCCTCTCTTCCTCTCTCGCCCCGCACCTCATATATCAGCGAAGAGAGTGAGCTGCACCTGAGAAGCATGTCCAGAATCTGCCCACCCCACCATCCCCATCGCCGTCCAAGCCCCACCACCTCTTGATTGGATGTTCAGCTGCCTCCTAAACACTCTTCCTGCTTCCAGTGTGAGGCTAGCTCCAGACCCTTCCCGTGCAGCAGCTGGCATGAGCCTTAGAGAAATGGAAGTTAGAACGTTCTGTGGATGTGGAAGATATTATCACTGGGGAAGGGTGAAGGGAACACAGGAAGTCTTGGTTCTATTTTGACAACTTACGAGTTGTTCTTGCGTCTTAAACTATTTCAAAATAAAAAATTATAAAAAACAACACTTAGAGACAGCCCCCACCAGTGGAAGGCAGATCATGTCACTCCTCTGCTCAAAACCTTAAACGGCTTCCTGTGTCCTTCAGAGGAGAAGCCCAGTCCTTTCCTTGGCCCGGGTGATGTGGATCCTGCCCCCTGCCTGATCTTGTGTCCTGTCACTTCTCTGACTCAGAGAGTTCAGCCAGTGTCCACCCCCTGACTGTCCCCAACCAGCCAAGCACACCCGGCCTCAGAGCTTTTGCACTCACTCCCTCTGCTTCAAACACTTCTCTCCTAGAAATCTGTGGGGCTGGTCTCCTTCCTTTATTTCTGTCTCCACTTAAGCTTCACCTCCTCGGGGAGTCCCTAGGGACCTTCTAGGCTAAAAGCCACTATCATCTCTGTCTCCTTACTTTTCTTTCAGCACATACTGCCTGATATCAGCATTTGGTCTGTTTGTTGTCTCTCCCCCACACTTCAAAGCTCTTAAGGTGCAAGGAGTTTGTCTTTTTTGTTCACTTCCAGGACAGCAATTGGCACACAGTAGAAACATTTTTGATGATTGAATGTTGATGATTGAATGAATGGGAGGTTAATAGAGTTTGCCTTGACCTTGTGCCAGATCCAAGTCACCATCTCCAAGTCTGCCCGGGAGAAGATGCAGCTGAAGCAGATGAAGGAGATGGAGCTGCTTCGGAGGCTGGAGGAGCCCAGGACAGGGCAGGAGCTCACTTCCCAGTGCCTGGGCTCCCAGAGAGCCTTCATGAAGGAAGGTACTGGGTGCCTGGTGTGGGATTTGCTCAGGCCTGGGGAGCTGAGTCCACTCTCTCATAGCCTGCTGATGGGCCCATTTTCTTTTTTAAAATTTTTATTAGTATTTATGTATTTATTTAGAGATGGAGCCTCACTCTGTGGCCCAGGCTAAAGGGCAGTGACACAATCACAGCTCACCACAGCCTCAAACTCTTGGGCTCAAGGGATCCTCCCACCTCAGCCTCCCAAGTAGTGGGAAATACAGACGTGTGCTACCATGCTTGGCTAATTTCTTTTAAATTTTCTGTAGAGATGGGCATCTCCCTATGTTGCCCAGGCTGGTCTTGAACTCCTGGCCTCAAGCCATCCTCCTACCTCGGACTCCCAACATGTTGGGGGTACTGGCATGAGCTACTTTGGCCAGCCATGGGTCCATTTTCAAAGGAGGACATTGAGGCCAGGGGAAAACAGACCTGCCTAGTCCTAGGACTTTCTCTGTGTCCACAGGCCTCCTTCCCCTCCGGGGCAGCGGGACACTGTCTGTGCCCACTAGGCTGAGCGGCCCATGCAGAAACGACGTCAGCATCATCCTGAGGAAGTGGGCCAGCCGGGCCTCCCTGCCCAGCATCCCCATCAGCCGGCAGGAGCCCCGCTTTGCCCGCCACGCCTCAGGTGGGCAGGCCCGACTGGCAGGCACACGTGTCCCTCTGCCCATGCTGCCTCAGGATGCCCTGAGGCATGGCAGAGGTGACCTCGGTGGCTTTGCTTCCGCCCCTTGTCCATGTTAGACCAGGAGGCAGCCTGGGGTGGTGGTTGCCTTGCCAGAGAGAGAAACAGTGTCAGGGACTCATCATTGTCTACAGGCTGGGCTTGGGACCCAGGATGTCACAACTGGAGTTGTGATGTCCTCAGCCTGTGTGACATGTCCGGAGGAGTGACCAGTGCACGAGGGCCAAAGACACTAGACAATAGCACCCAAGGAAGCAGCTGTGAACAGCAGAAAGAGGATGAGAGGATTGGGGAAGACCTCGGTTTCTTTCCTGTTGCTTCATAAAATGTCAGGGCTGGACAGCACTGGCTACAGACAGGAATCAGAGGGTCCAGAGCTTCTACCAGGGCACCTCAGGAATCGTGCCTGGGACATGGGGACGCTCTGTCCCCATTCTACCAGAGGAGCTTCTATGTTGCCTCATTTTTTTTTTTTGTATACTGGGCATTCATGTGAGATTTCATTTGGAAAGATTTTGCTACTGAAAAAAACTTAAAAACAGTCAGCTTGGTTCAGAGTTTCTGTAAGTGTGGGATGTGATGGTAAATGATCATGGACTAGAGCATAATTTCCATGCTGTAAATAATGCCAGCTCATCTCCCTTTTCAATCCTCTTTCTATCCTTTCAATTGTCTCAAGTAGAAAGTCTGAATTTGGTGCTAGTCTTTAGCACCTCTTTTTTTATTTTTATTATTTTTTATAAAGAAAAGAGGTTTAATTGGTTCATAGTTCCACAGGCTGTACAGGAACCATAGTTGCTTCTGCTGCTGGGGAGGCCTCAGGAAACTTGCAATCATGGTGGCACCTCTCTCTTTAAACAAGGAGATCCTCTTTCAGGCTCAAAGACAGAAGCTGCCTACAAATTTTTTAGCTAGAGTTTTAACATTGTTTTACTTTCATTGTAAATATTTATCATATTCTATGACAAACAATGTTAGTTTATGGTAGTGACAGAAAGTTCCCTTTAAAGTTAAATTCTTTAGGATTTGAAATTCTTTTGTGATTTGAAGTGCAATGTAAATGAAAGGACAGGCTATTGAGAGATATGGCAAAAATCATGAAAGTGGTAATTGAATAATATGATTGATACTGAGAACTATTGATGTATATAACCCAACTGACTCTTTTTTTTTTTTTTTTTTTTTATGACAGAGTCTCACTCTGTCGCCCAGGCTGGAGTGCAGTGGTGCGATCTCTGCTCACTGCAACCTCTGCCTCCTGGGTTCAAGTGATCTTGCCTCAGCCTCCTGAGTAGCTGGGTGCATGCCACCATGGCCCGATTAATTTCTGTATTTTAGTAGAGATGGGGTTTCACCATATTGGCCAGGCTGGTCTCGAACTCTCGACCTCAAGTGATTCGCCCACCTCAGCCTCCCAAATTGCTGGGATTACAGGTGTGAGCCACCATGCCTGGCCAACCCACTCATTTTATAGCAGCAGAACTGAGACCTAGTGATGTAAAAGCCACCCAAGATCACTCAAGGTCATGGTGCCCCATAGTACCACCATCTAAAGATCACTAGACTGAGACTTTGGCTAGTGATGCTTGACCCAGGATAGTCTGTTGTCCCTCTTTATTTGAACTGTTTATGTTTGGCAGGTGAGCGGGTAGGTAGAAATAAAATCAAGTAGGTTATGTTGTTGGAGTTAGGAAAAAAAGCCAACATTCTCCTCTTACAACCATCCTGGAAGCTGTATTTGAATCCTCCTCTTCTTCCTCTCTCCTCACAGTGAACAAATAATCCCTTAACTTGCTGTATAGTTTGGGTTTTTAGTTTGGCTGGAAATGATAGTATTTCAGGATTGTAAACCTGCTTGTCCTCCTGATTCTCCTAATATGTCCTGTGAGAGTGTTGGAAATAAGAGCTAGGAGTCACAAAGAAAACGAGCACTCAAATAAAGGATTTCTCAGCGAGGCAAATTTACTTCCGCAGAAGGCTGCTGCTCATTCTTCTGGTCACTGCGAGAGCACACCCAACAAAGGAGGGAAGGGGTTTTTATCCCTAATGCAGTCAGTCCCTACTACTGTGTCCGGTCCCCATTGGCTGGGGTTGGACAGCACAATCTAAGCTGATCCCGACTGGCTACTTCAAATGGATCAGGGGCTCTAGCGGTGGGAAGAGCAGTTTTGGAACTAAGGGCCTCAAATAAGGAACAGATGTGGGTTGTTACAGATTGGGAACTGATGTGGGTTACAGATTGGGAATGGATGTGGGTTACAGATTGGGAGTGGCTGGAAAGTTGTTTATTGTAACTAGGGGCAAGGAGGCAAGGAAGTTAAGCTTTGAAAATAGAGGACAAGCGGGACCTTTGAAGAGGAACTCACTGTTTCCAACAAGGAGCTGGCCTTTCTTGGGAGACTGGGTTAGTTTAGGTGAGCTCAGCTCAGGATCTGTTCAACTTCTTCTGTTGTGTGTGTGAAAAATAGAAATGACTGAACCAGAAGGCACAAATACGAACATGACTGGAAAGCTGTCAGAGGTAGGGCAAAGGGGGAGGCCACACAAGCCCTCAAGACACTGGAGGCTGGAATCCCCCTGCCAGTGCCTTTTGTGGGTTTGTTTTTAAATCCAGTGGATGCTAAATGCCCCTGTGGGGTGCGGTGAAGGCGAGGAAGGGGGGCAGCAGGGCAGGTGGCTGTATTGCTCGCTCCAGAAGACTGAGCCTCTTTTTGAGAGCGTTGCAGACAGCATGTCATTCACGTCCGTGCTGCCCAGGGAAGGATGGGGAGGTTGGATATTACCTCCTGCCTTTCAGAGAGTGACTGAAATAACTGATTAAGAGACTGTTCCACCTGCCAAGGGCAGTGCTGAAAAAGAGTCCAAGAGTGAGGGCTTTGTGTCTCCGCTTTTTTTGTTTGTTTGTTTTTTTAATCCCTGAGACTGAGTCTCACTCTGTCGCCCAGGCTGGAGTGCAGTGACATGATCTCGGCTCACTGCAACCTACGCTTCCCGAGTTCAAGCGATTCTCCTGCCTCAGCCTCCCGAGTATCTGGGATTACAGGCATGTACCACTATGCCCAGCTAATTTTTGTATTTTTAGTAAAGACAGGGTTTCACCATGTTGGGCAGGCTGGTCTTGAACTCCTGATCTCAGGTGATCTGCCTGCCTTGGCCTCCCAAAGTGCTGGGATTACAGATGTGAGCCACTGTGCCCGGCTGTGCGTCCACTTTCAGTAAAGGGCTTCCTCTCCACTCAGACTTGCCTAGGACCTCCAGATGTACTGTGGTGAAAATCATCCTGGTGGAGGTGAAGCTCGGGAGAAAACTCGCCAGGAAGGAAGATGTGGTAGTGAGAGCTCTGGACTGGGAGGGGGATCTTCTTGTCCTGGCTGTGCTGACAGAGGAGCCGAGGGGCTGTGGAGGGTCCCCCACCCTCTCTGGGCCTCTGGGACCTCAACTGTGTGATCAGGGCATTTGGCTAGACAGAGGCCCTGTAAGACTCCTTCCTGTCCTAGGAGTTTATGATTTCAGCATCTGTCTCCTGGGAAGGAGAGCCTAGAAAACACGACAACCTGTTTGTTGTGGGTCCCTGTGTGTGTGGCTG
Source organism: Homo sapiens (assembly GCF_000001405.40). Taxonomy (NCBI): domain Eukaryota; kingdom Metazoa; phylum Chordata; class Mammalia; order Primates; family Hominidae; genus Homo; species Homo sapiens. The sequence continues at coordinate 29,021,600 of NC_000002.12, forward strand.
CATCTGGACTGTGTGGGTGCCAGTTAGCTACATTGTCTTCCTCTAGCCATCTGCTCTTGGACTCTTCCCTGCTTGTGGGCAACCTCACAAAAGGCTGGATAGCAAGAGGGAAGGAAGAGGCGCTGACCATACAGGCCTCTGGTTGGGAATGAGGTTAGACCGCCACCAAAGTGAGTAGGGAGATCATTCATTGATGGCTCAGGGGGCCCCACCCCACCACAGATGGGGCAGGTTTGGAGGTGTCCCCCTGACTGGGGGGTTTAGTCCCATGACATCATGTGGCTTATCACAAATCTGTTTATAAGAATCGCATTGGCAAGGGCAGGAAGGGGAAAAGTCAGCCAAAGGTAGAGTTAGGAGGTCTTCATGGCTCCTGGGGAGGGAGGCCCAGGCGCTGGGTTCTTAGCCTCACCAGGCACTTCCACTTGTACACCCTCCCTGTTAGGTGGGCTCAGGGTGGTGGCACGGCCTCCCATGGTGAGCGGTGGCAGGAGCGGCCACTCGGGCTCTTGCCTGTCCTGCTGCGTGAAGCCTGCTGTTTCTTTCTTGTGAATGCAGCTAACTCATTACCTGCGGTGCTCACGTTGGGGTCTCCTGAATGGGAAGAAGAGGAGGAGATGGATCTTAGAGCCTGTAAGGAGTTGAGGCCTTTCTCGAACCCGGAGCTGGGGCTGAGGGATGCACTCCAGTGCCTCAACAGCAGTGACTGGTGAGGAGATGCTTCCACCACGTGCTGTGTTCTGGCCGGAAGCAGGGGCTGTTGCAGAATAGCTTCTGCCCCTCAACTTCCCTCCTCTCCCACTCTGGGGTTCCAGCACCATGGAGCATAAAAGCCAGTTTGGAGGGAGGACTGTGCATGCATATAGATATGTGTGTTTATGTGCGTGTGTGCATGAGTGTGTGGTGTTCCTGGCTTTATGTGTGTGCCCTGCGACCCTCCAAGCAGCCTATGCATGGCTCTGTGGTGTACCAAAGCCAGGCATGGCAAGGATGCATTTGATTCCACACCATGGGGCCCAGGAAGGCCGCAGCCCTTTATTTCTCTGAATGAAATTGAATCTGCTCCGAGCGCTCCTCCCACTGTGGGGATGCAGGACCGTAGTCATGAGCAAAGCAATGCCTCGGCCTCCAGAACATTTGTGAGAAGCCCTCCCTGCCTTCAGTCCTCCCTGTTCAAGTGCCTTTTATTGAAGGTGTTGGCTTTGTGTCAAGGACCCAGACAGGTCCTGGAGGGGGGTGGGCTTCCATACAGCACTGTCAGAGCTGAGGGCTGGCCAGAGGCCACATAAAACTGGCTTTTACTGAGTGGTTAGGATTCCAGGCCAGGGTGTTACCCCGGGAAACCCTGCTCTGAGGCCATGGAATGGCACCCTGCTGCGGGTGACGGTGGACCGTGATGGTGTGTGATGTGGGGCCCCTAGTCTGCAGAGGGGTGGGGCTCCTCCCTCTCCACCCTTCTGCAACAGGGCCTGGCCTTGCTTCTCAGGCAGATGAAGGAGAAGGGTCTGGTGAGCATCCAGCGCTTGGCAGCCTGTCACTCAGAGGTCCTCACCGGGAAGCTGCACGACGTGTGCTTGGTGGTGACTGGGGAGGTGAGGCCCCCCAGCCTGTGTGCTGTGCATTTGGCCCCACTGCAGCTGCTGGATGCAGTCCGCTAGCAGCTGTGGAGGGGCTGTGGCTTCAGGGACATGGGGATCCCTGCTTATTTCTCAGCCTTCAGCCACTGAGGTAGGAGGTAGCCACCCATTTCTCAGATTGGAAAACTGAGGCCTAGGGTTTCCTTATTTGTAATCTTTGAGAATGGAAACAATTAGAATCCCACATGCCCATGTGTCGGCCTGCATGGTCCTCTGTACTCAAAATGCCTAAGGAGGGATGGAGCGTCCAGGGCCAGATCCCCAACTCCAGGGCAGTGGTAGTATTTCCCAAAGCGTTTCTTTCATGGCTCTGTGGCTTGGTCTAGCTGGGTCCAGAGAGGCAGGAGGCTACATTTGTTCTCATGTGGAGGCTGTGCCCTGCCCTTGGGAGTGGGCTGCTCCAGTGGGGGTGGGGTGGGGATGAATACGGAGGACGCTGTTTTGTTAACACAGGGGCCTGGGCTGTGTGGGGAGCATCTGCCTTCCTGCATGTGGCCTGGGGTCTCTGTTTCCTCTGCAAAGTGAGGCATCCAGAAAAAATACAGTTACATTCTCCCAGGTTAATTAGAGCCTCAGTCAGCACTACTGTGCTTCTCATGGTACCTATTTCTCACTTGGTAGTTGCAAAGATCAAATCAGACATTCTTTGTAAAAGTGCTTTGAAGACAGAGTGTACACATTTCCTATGGTCATGATAATGATGGGATTAATAATTGAGATGATAACAAAATGGGACAGTTTTGCTCAGAGTGGCTGCAGGGTTTTTGTTTCCAGCGTGGCAAGGCCTAGGTCAGGGGAAGGGTGGGGGTGGAGGAAGAGGGTGGTGCAGGGCCCATTTTCCATGCGTCCCAGAGCCCTTGGCAGGGTCCAGCACCCTGGAGGGCCTCTCTCCTCTCTCCAAGGTCACCAACCTGCGGTCCAAGGTGTCTCACCTGGCCATCAGCACCTTGGGAGACCTCTTCCAGGCCTTGAAGAAGAATATGGACCAGGAGGCCGAGGAGATCGCCCGCTGCTTGCTGCAGAAGATGGCGGACACCAACGAGTTCATCCAGAGAGCAGCCGGCCAGTCTCTGAGGGCTATGGTGGAGAATGTGACCCTTGCCCGCTCCCTGGTGGTCCTCACCTCGGCGGGTGTCTAGTATGTGGCTGCCTGTTGTCTGAGGGGCGGGGAAGTCAGGGAAGGTAAGGCAAGGGGAGAGGCCCTGGGATGTGAAAGAAGGAGGGAAGGGTGCAGGGAGGGAGGGAGGGAAGCAGGCAAGTGAGGCTGCAGGGGGTCCCTTGAGATGCTAGAGGACAGGGTGATGGGTCAGAGGTTCTGAGTGAAGAAGGGGCCCATCTCAGACTTCACAGCAGGTGCTTCCCACTTAGCTGGGGGAGGAAGACCCCTGCTTCCCTGTGCCGGGCATCCGGCTTCTCTCCCAACCTTTCATCGGCCAGGCCGGGGGAATGCAGGGACCTCTGGCTGGAAGAGGAGGGGGCCGTTGCACTCCAAGGCTGGGGAGCACACCGTGGCTGTGGGAGCGCCCCGGGAGACAGGGCTGCAGAGGCAGCCTGAGCATGGGCCCTGGAGCTCCTGTCACCCCCAGGAGCAGTGTTGCTTTCTGATGAAATGTGGGCCAGTGAGAAGAGAAAGTCGCAAAATTTCATTCTCCAGCTTGCCCCACTGGACCTGCTCCTGGGGAGGGGAAGGTATTGGGTTCCTGTTGGAGCCTTTCTGCAGATTTGTTTTCCCTGTCATTAAACACCCACACTAAAAGCAAAACCAAAAGCATTTCCCAAGCTGCTTCTCCCGCACAGCAAAAGGCCTCTCCACCCCATAAGTGGATCATTACACTGATGCGTGAGGTTTCTCAGTAGCCCCAGGGGCCTGTTGGACCAGCTGGGAGACCTTTAGTAATTGCACCATAGCATACTGCAAAGGGTGAGATCCTGCCCAGCCACATTGCCTGGGTTCACATCCTGATTGTCACTTCACTTCTCTGTGTCTCAGTTGACTCATCTGTAAAATGGAGATAATAATGGTGTCTACCTCATGAGGTTGTTATGAGAGGTAATTGAATTGACTCACGAAAGCGCACTTAGAAAGGTGCCTGCCCATTCCTGACATTCACTGAGTGCTTACTGTGTCTATAATTAACTTAGGAGAAATGAATTGTATTTTTTTTTTCTGGATGCCTCCCTTTGGCTCAGCTTCCTCACCTGCAGAATAGTGATGATAATAGTAGCTAATGAGGTAGATGTGAGATAATGGATAAAAGGTGCTGGCATGGAGGGACAGGCAATTGATCACTGTCAACAAGAACCAGGGTCATGGCTTGTGCATCTGAGTCCGCTGGGATCTTGCTGAAATGCAGATTCTGGTTCAGATGTCAGTGCTGCTGGTCCATGGACCATGCTGAGTAGGGAGAGTTCTGATGTCCCCCACTGTGTTCCACTGGGGTGAGACTCTAGGGGACAAAAGGGTCAGTGCTTCCTGATGGAGTGTGGACACAGAGGCCCTTAGAAAGAGGTGCCATTCTGACAGGTTTCTCTTATAGAGCTCAGGTTCCACTTGTTATGGTCACCAACTCACCCATGAATCCCTCTTCTCCCTCCTGTCTCAGTTCAGTTCAGCAAACATGCATTAAGCTCCTGCCAAGCACCAGGGATGTGTCAGGCACAGCAGGGCAGTGGGGTTGCCACAGAGAGGGAATCAGGACTCCAGCCAGGACACTAGGTAGGGAAGCACCAGGGGCCTGGGGCGGAGAAGGCAACCAGCCAGCCCCGAGGGGCCTGGAACATGCAGCTCAGCTTCCCTGGGATTCTGCAGAGGGACAGGCAGGTGGATGAAAGCTATGTCCTTCAGCTCTAGTCCCATCCCTTCCGTCAAGCCAAGCCCATTCAGCAAGGAGTCCTTACTCCCTGCCTCCACTTTCTTGCCTTCCATTTCCCCTCTGCCCATCGAGTGTTGCTCTTGTTTCTGCCTCACCCCAGTACTGTTCTCTGTACATTCAGGCCTTTTTTTTCTGGAGATACTTAATGATCACTCTTTTCGTCATTATGGATACAGCAGTGAAAAAGAAAAATGAAGCCCCTGTTGTTTTGGAGTTACTTCCTAGTCAAGGGAGACAGATAACCTGGTCCCCGCCCACAGGGAGCTGGCAGCCTGATGGGGGCCCTAAGGGTGCAACTGTACTTCCCCGGGGACAAAGACAGCGCTACCTTGGGCAGTGGGTGGGATGTCTAATTCTGCCTGTGGGGCTGGGGAAAGAAGGAAGAAGAGACACTGGTTAGGTAGGACTTTTCTAGGTGGAGGGAAGATGGAGAAGAGTACTTAGACAAAAGGAAGGATGTGTGTGCAGGAAGCTCCCAAGAACGGTATGCATACGGTGTATTGGGGAACCTCGTGTAGCTTCATGTCACTTTCCTTCCCTCTCCCGTTGTTGCTGTCACCCTGTTCGTAGAAAGTGAGTGCTCTTTCCTCAAAGATTCCCCTCAGCTCACATGGGGACAGGTATTTTTGGAGCCCCTGGCTGGCATGAAGCATGGGTCTGCAATGGTAGATCCATGTTTGCCAGCCTGGGGACTCCCACACCACTATCCTGAGACTGACCCCTGGGCCATGATTTCCTTTCAGCCACCGGAACCCCTTGATCCGGAAATACGCGGCTGAGCACCTCTCAGCTGTGCTGGAGCAGATCGGCGCTGAGAAGCTTCTCTCGGGCACCAGAGACAGCACAGACATGTTGGTGCACAACCTGGTGAGGCTGGCACAGGACTCCAACCAGGACACCAGGTAGGGCAGGGCCAGGGGCCTGGGGGCAGAGAAGGCAACCAACCAGCCAGCCCTGAGGGGCCTGGGGCACACAGCTTCAGCTTCCCTGGGATCCTGCAGAGGGACAGGCAGGTAGGCGGAAGCTATGTCCTTTCCTTTCAGCTCTTGTCCCATCCCTTCCATCAAGCCAAGCCCATTCAGGGAGGGGTCCTTACTCCCTGCCTCCACTTTCTGGTCTTCCATTTCCCCTCTTACCCATTGAGTGTTGCTCTTGTTTCTACCTCACCGCAGCACCATTCTCTGTAAGAACATTCAGGCCTTTTTTTCTGGAGATATTTAATGATCACTCTTTTTCTTATTAAGGACACAGCAGTGAATAAGAAAAATGAAGTCCCTATTGTATTGGAGCTTACTTCCTAGTCGAGGGAGACAGATAATAAATAAATAATTATGGTAATTTTAGATACATATCAGGGATATAAAGAAAAAATAGGCCGGATGTGGTTGTTCATACCTGTAATCCCAGCACTTTGGGAGGCCAAGGCAGGAGGATTGCTTGAGGCCAGGAGTTGAGACTGGGCAACATAGTAAGATCCTGTCTCTACTTAAAAAAAAAAAAAATGCTAGGGGTGGTGTTGCACACTTGTAGTCCCAGCTACTGAGGGGCTGAGGTGGGAGGATCTCTTGAGCCCAGGAGGTAAAGGCTGCAATGCAATGGAGTTGGTGGGGGGGCTGCTTTAGACTGAGGGTTCAGAGAACCTTTTTTAAGAGTGACATTTGAGTTGAGAGCTGAACGGCTACACGGAGCCAGCTCTTTGAGGATCAGGCAAAGCAAATGTCACAGAGGCCACTGGATGGGAACAAGCTTGGTGTCCAAGGGTGGGGACGGCCAGCCTGGTGGAGCACAGTGAGTGAGGGGTGGGGGTGAGGGTGGGCAGCAGGCCCAGGTCAGAGACGTTCTCCTAGGCCAAGGTCAGGAGTTGGGATTTTGGATGGTGTGTGATTGGAAGTCATTGGAGTGTTTTCTTAGTGGGAGTATGAGGAGGTGTTGGAGGATTTTAAGCAGGAGAGCGAGAGGATCTGGTTGACTGTCTTCAAAAGCTAGGGCTGGAGCCCAGTTCCTCACACTCCTCAGTTCAGGGCTTATTACTACCACATCCATTTGGATGAGTGTGTAGGTCTCCACCCCTCACTCCATCCTCGCCCCAACTGGAGACCATGTGGCACCTGTCAGGGCTCCAGAGGCCATGCCCACCCTGGATGGGTGAGCTCCAGGCCAGACATTCTCGTAGGGTACCCACGTCTGAGGGTGCTCCCTGAGGGATGTAGTGCCTGCGGTTCCTCCCATTCTCCCCTGCTGCAAACTGTGCTGCATGGCACCTCCTCGGACGTGCCCAGGAGCAGGACCGTGGGTCAGATGCATGTGTGTGCTCCAGCAGCCCCGCCCTGCCTGGGGTCCACATCTGCCTCCCTCCTGCACAGCCTCTCAGCATGTGGCAATTTCTAGATTTCTAATTTTTATCCATCTAATGGGTAAAAATGATAGCTCATCATTGTTTTAGAGTGCTTTGACCCCCTGCTTATTAATAATGAGTTTGAGTGTTTCTTTACATGCGTGTTAGCCTTTATAATTAAAAAAAAAAGCCTCTCTGGCTGCCGCAGGACTGGTAGTGAGAGAGAAAGGCAGGAGGAACAGCAGATGATGGCTGCCCCACAGTCCAGGCAAGAGGGGCTGGAGGCTCAGACTGGAGAGTGGTGGGTGGCTTCGGCCAACAGCCAACAGGATGGCAGAGCCAACAGGATGCAGGTGGTAAGGGTTTCAAAGACGAACTGAAGATGCTCTTAAGTTTTTACCCTGAACAATGGTGAATAATAGTGCCATTTGCTGAAATGAGGAATATCAGTGGAGAAGTGGAAGGTTTTGCTTACTCCTGCAAGAATGGCCATAATCAAAAAACCAAAAAATAATAGATGTTGGCGTGGATGTGGTGAAAGGGAACACTTCTACACTGCTGGTGGGAATGCAAACTAGCACAGCCACTGTGGAAAACAGTGTGGAGATTCCTTAAAGAAGTAAAGGTAGAACTACCATTCGATCCTGCAATCCCACTACTGGGTATCCATTGGGTATCATCATATGAAAAAGATACTTGTTCACGCATGTTTATAGCAGCACAATTCTCAGCTGCAAAAATGCGAAAACAGCCCAAATGCCTCATCATCAATCAACGAGTGGCTAAAGAAACTGTGATATGTATGTATGTATGTGTGTATACACACACACACACACACACACACACACACACACTGGAATACTTAGTCATAAATAGGAATGAATTAATGGCATTTGCAGTGACCTGGATGAGATTGGAGACTATTACTCTAAGTGAAATAACTCAGGAATGGAAAACCAAACATCGTATGTTGTCACTCATAAGTGGGAGCTAAGCTATGAGGATGCAAGGGCATAAGAATGACATAATGGGCCGGGTGCGGTGGCTCACGCCTGTAATCCCAGCACTTTGGGAGGCCGAGGCTGGCAGATCACAAGGTCAGGAGATCGAGACCATCCTGGCTAATACGGTGAAACCCCGTCTCTACTAAAAATACAAAAAATTAGCCAGGTGTGGTGGCGGGTGCCTGTAGTCCCAGCTACTCAGGAGGCTGAGGCAGGAGAATGGCGTGAACCCGGGAGGCGGAGCTTGCAGTGAACCGAGATCGCGCCACTGCACTCCAGCCTGGGCGACAGAACAAGGCTCTGTCTAAAAAAAAAAAAAGAATGACATAATGGACTTTAGGGACTCAGGAGGAACTAGTGGCAAGGGGGTGAGGGATGAAAGGCTGCAAATAGGGTTCAATGTATACTGCTCGGGTGATGGGTGCACCAAAATCTCACGAATCACTACTAAAGAACTTACTCATGGAACCAACCACCACCTGTTCCCCAATGACCTATGGAAATAAAAAATTAAAACAAAAACAGGCAAACAAAACATTGCCTGGCTGGGTGCAGTGGCTCACATCTGTAATTCCAGCACTTTGGGAACCCAAGGCAGGTGGATCTCTTAAGCCCAGGAGTTTGAGATCAGCCTGGGCAACACAGTGAAATCCTGTCTCTACAAAAAATACCAAAATATTAGCCGGGCATGGTAGCACGTGCCTGTGGTCCCAGCTACTTGAGAGGCTGAGATAAGAGGATCGCTTGAGGCCAGGAGGCACTGGTTGCGGTGAGCTGAAATAGGGCCATTACACTCCCGCCTGGGCAACAGGGTGAGACCCTGTCTCAAAAAAATAAATAAATAAAAAAATCACAAATCACATAGCCATTAAACTTGGAGCAAATACTTTGAAGAGTGAGTTTAGGGGGACTGGAAGAATGGGATGAAATGTCTATAAACAGCTATTCTTTGTGTAGCATCTACTAGAGCATCTACTATATAATAAAGTGTTGTGTAACTCTGCCATGCAACGAAAAAAAAAAGGACGTAGAAGGTTTTGGTTTGCTTGTTGGTTTTAAATGGTTGTTAGAGGGATGGAAATCAAGGTCTAAAGTCTCTCCAGATCTGCTACTCCTCTCCATTCTGACCCATCCCTTACACTAGATGATGGTGACTACATTTCCTTTTCCTTCCTAGAACTCTGTCCTTCCTGGTTTCCATGGCACTGTACTCCGGGGATTCTCCTTGTCCCTCTGTGACCATTCTGCCCCTGACTGCCACCTGAGTGTAGGTGCTGCCAAGGTGTCTTTAGTCCTCATCTCCCTCTCCTGGCTTTTACTTCTGGTGGCTCCAGCCACCAGCAAAGTTGGAGGCTTCTCAATTCTTGCCCTCCACTCCAGACCCTTCTTCGAGCATCAGTCCCCATTTCTAAAGCCTCCATGGGACCCACCATCTGATGTCCTACTGCCATCTGCAGTGCTGAGTGTCCCTAAATGAACTCATTGCCTCCTCTCCAAGTCTGCCTCTCTGTGTTCTCTCTATCATTAAAAGTGACTGTTATTTACTGAGCCACCCAAGAGGCACAATGGGGACTCCCATACTTCATTGATTTCAAGACACACATCCTTCCCTGGTTTTAATATTTTTAAAATTGGCATGTATCTTACAATGACAGGCATTTCACAGTTGCTGTTGGGCTTCAGTTGGGCTAGGCAGTGATTAGGACATAGGTGTTTTTGTAGTTTTAAGAGATGGGGTCTTGCTATGTTGCCCAGGTTGGAGTGCAGTGGCTATTCACAGGTGTGATCATTGCACACTACAGCCTTGAACTCCTGGGCTCATGTAATCCTCCTGACTCAGCCTCCCAAATAGCTGAGACAATAGGTGTGCACCACTGTGCCCAGTTTATGATGTAGTTATACTATCTGCACCTTCACAAACTTAGTCAGTGTTGCTCAGAGTATTATTTTCTGAATTAAATTTTCCATTGTAGGAACTACACTATGAGCCTTTCTTTGTAAATTTTTAAATTTATTTTCAGAAGTGATTTTTGGATGCTCTCTGGAGAATCATTGAGTTTAATCTGTTTAAAGTTTCTTAGAAATATTACACTATTATTTGCAATTGAAATGAATAATTATTGTATATGAGAAAAGGCATGGCAACGTCAGTGGATATCCATTAGATATCAATGAAGCAAACTCTCACTGTGGAAGGAATGACCAAGTCCCACATTTTTTGCAAAGCAATCACTAAGAACTTTACCTGACCTAAGGAAGAAAAATACCGACAAGCAATGCTATCTTCTGTTTCTGAGATAGCACATAGAAAGATTGCCCTCACACATGGGGCAGTGTCATTGGAGGCTATGGAAATCACCAGTTTTTATTTTTCTGATTTTCCTTAGTGGAAAATAAAGTAAGGGCACCTTTTACAATTAATGGAGTCTTAAGTTTGAATGAAATATGATTTAAGATTTTAGATGCTTCCTGCTTCACTTCCCACCAGCTACCAAATCCTGTGGTTTCCATCTTCTCAGCAGCTCTTGGATCTGACTGTGCTTCCTTATCCTCACTGTACTGCCTGATTTCAGGCCTGCACCATCTTTTTCCTGGACTATTATGGTGGCCTCCTAATAAGTCTCCTGGCCCCTAGCCTTGTCTCCACCAATCCATCCTCCACACTGCTGCTAGAGACATTTTGACTGATGTACAAATTGAATCATTCTTCAGCTTCCTATTGCATGCAAACTGAAGCCTAACTCCTTCATGTCTCCCTAAACAGGGTCCTGTGTTCTCCTCTGGCCTGTCTGCTTCCTGTGTCCAACCTCTGCTCACTATTCTCCAATATATCCCCCTGCTGACATGTCACACTGTGTTATAGACCTAAATAACCCTGTTCCTCCGACGTATCCCAAATCCCACCCAACTTGTGAACTCCTACTTATCTGTTGAGCCCCAACGCAAGGGTCACCTCTTCTATGAAGCCCTCCTTGATTCCCTCACCTGCCACCACTGTTCATCAGGTAGATTGACTACACCCTCCTATATTGTCCCGCTTTACCCTTTCTGGGACTTCTAAATGTTCCATATTAGAACAAAATTGAGTACACTTTGGTATAGCCATTCAACGGAATATTTTGTAGCCATTAAAAAGGATGTTTATGGAGAGTTTTAAGGGACTTGGGAAGATGATTAATGAATGATAAAGTGAAAAAGCTGAATACAACTTGTATATACATTCTGATATCAACTAGAAAGTAAATGCCACAGAAAAAAGACTATAGGAAAATATGTAAAAATTTAATAGGGATTTTCTCTTGGTAATGGGATTATAGATGATGTTTATTTTATTAATCTATTTTTTAACTGGGTAGGGATTGCTTTTGTAATTAGAAAAAGTATTAAAAACTCTCTTTAATTAGGAAGATTATGTAAAGCTGTAAAGCAAATTTATTTTGCATTTCAGAGGCTGTTTCTTTATCTTGCTCTCTCTCCTGTGGCAGATTTTATGGCCGGAAGATGGTGAATATCTTGATGGCGAACACTAAGTTTGATGCATTTCTGAAGCAATCTCTCCCATCTTACGACTTGCAGAAGGTCATGGCGGCCATTAAACAGCAGGTGAGCTGTGGGGCATAAGTGGGTCATGGCCTTTTGGGGGTGGGGGTGACAGTGCTGAGCCTGGTAGCCTTCATGTGGGTCAGGGGAGTGGGGAGTGGATTCCAGAGATGTTGATTTCATCCACTACTCCTGATAGGTGAGATAGATGTGATTTCTGTCCTCTGTGCTCACACCTGGTTCTAACCTCACACTACCCATGTTCCTTGAGCCTCCCTGGGCCTCCATGCCTTCATCTGTTAACCAGGGATCTTGATCTCTGCCCCAGCTGCTTTCAGGGCTCTGGAAGGCTCAACTGTGACATCTGAAGCTCTCCTAGGTGGAAGGGATTATTGCCATTGTTATGTCTCCACTGGAATGTCTGGCATTTCCCTGGAGGGCCACTCCTTTTGGCTCATGCTCTGTGTGTATTTTTTCAAGGGAATAGAAGATAATGATGAACTTCCCTCTGCCAAAGGCCGCAAGGTGTTGAGGAGTCTGGTGGTGTGTGAGAACGGGCTGCCCATCAAGGAGGGGTATGGCTGCTCCTGTATCTCTGGGCTTCACATCTAAGACTTCTGACAGAGGCATCCTGCTTGTCCATGGCCAGGGGTGGCTCTGGGGTGGACATATGGATCTGGGGTATCGCTGAGACCTAGTTGGGGCTGCAATACTAATAGATGAATTTGCAGGATGTGTTCCCCCCAACCCAAATCCCAGGGAGACCAAATCCTGGGCTTGGGAGCATCTGCCAGTAGAAGTTGGTTCCTGCAGTCCCAGCTGAGTGGGCGGGGTTCCACTAGCATCGGTGGTTGGACTCTCTGTGTGAGCTCAGTGTTTCCTCGTTCGCTTAGACCAGCAGATCCTTTAACCACCAGAGTGGCCAGCCTGGGACTAGTTCAGAGGCCCAGCCTGAACTAAGGCAGATGAGAAGACATGGACTGAGGGGCTGGGAGGAGGGGGTGTGGGGTTGCTGGGAGCAGTTAGAAACCAAGCAGGAGTCTGATGGTCACGCCTGTGCTTAAAACTGAAGCCCTTCTGTAATGTCCTGGGCTGATCCCATCTGAACTCCTTAGCAGGGCACTAGGGAAGCCCCATGCCCACTTCTTCAAAGGTAACTTCCTGCCTACTCTCCCACTCTTCCTGTCTCGGCCTGACCAGAGCAGCACCTGGGATAAGCAAAACATGAGAGCAGCTGGTATTCATGCCCCTCCACATCCTCTCTCCCTGCTGTGCCTTTGCTTATCCTAGACACCATCTGCACCTAGAACATGTCTATTGGTTCTGCAAGATTCAGCTCACCTGTCACTTTCTCCAGGAAGCTCTACCACTCTGTGTCCTCATGTCCTCAGGGTGACAGGCTGGCCTGTTCTTCATACCTCTGTCAGCCCCGTTGATGTATCTATCTTCCCTTGGTCTGTGAGCTCCTAACGGCAAAGGCTGTGCTCTCATCTCACGGTTCTCAGTGCCCAGCACAGCTCTTGGCTCTCAGTAGACAATGAGTGTGGAATGCAGGAGTGAATCACAGAATGAGGGACAGTGGGCTCTGCTGGATGGGACCTGGGTGTAGGGCATGAGCCAGTGACCCAGGCTTGGAGCTGAAGGTGGGAGACAGTAGTTCTGCACAGAGCTGTTCTTATGCTGGCTGGAAGGGGCTAGGGGGCTGTGATGGGCATGTGATCCCAGTGTAAGAAAATGGGGCTTTTTACAATGTCCCCAGTTGCTGGGGGAGTGTGAGCAGAGCCTAGCCAGCCAGGGATCAGGATATAGGAGCTGGGCAGAAGGTTGGCTGTGATGACCTCCAAGGTCTTTCCCCACTCTTACATTAAATGTGCACCAGTTGGCCAGGTGCAGTGGCTCACACTTATAATTCCAGCACTTTGGGAGGCCAAGGTGGGTGGATCATGAGGTCAGGAGTTTGAGACCGGCCTGGCCAACATACTGAAACCCTGTCTCTACTAAACATACAAAAATTAGCCGGGCATGGTGACACATGCCTGTAATACAAGCTACTTGGGAGGCCGAGGCAGGAGAATCGTTTGAACCCAGGAGGTGGAGGTTGCAGTGAGCTGAGATTGGGCCATTAAACTCTAGCCTGGGCAGCAAGAGCGAGACTCTGCCTCAAAAAAAAAAAAAAAAAAAAATGTGTACCAGTCATTCTTTTGTGGATAGCCACTTCCTCACTCTGACTTCCCCCATTGCTTACATATCTTCTGAAAAGAGAAAAAGGTAGGAAGAGAGAGCCCTGGCCCCTGACAAGGGGATGGAGCCCTGGGCAACAAGCTGTAGGTGGAGGGGAAGCTGGGGGTGGACTAACCTGCAGGTGACACTCTTGTCTCTGCCCCACCTGCCTGTAGGAGGTGGCATGGGACCAGAAGTGGGTTCATTCCCCCGGGCTCTTCCCTGGGGGGTTCAGACGCCACGCTCCTTACCTAGGCTCAGCTGCAATGGCCCAAGGCTGGTGGGGCTGCGCTCCACACTGCAGGGCCGCGGGGAGATGGTGGAGCAGCTACGGGAGCTGACACGGCTGCTGGAGGCCAAGGACTTCCGGTCCCGGATGGAAGGCGTGGGGCAGCTCCTGGAGCTCTGCAAGGCCAAGACGGAGCTTGTCACTGCCCACCTGGTCCAGGTGAGCACCGCTTGCTTTTACTCTCCCACCTGTCTCTCCTCTGGGGGGTGCAACTTGAAGTTTGAAAACTCTGAATGGCGTTGGACATGTGTCAGACCCCTTGCTATGCAGTTGGCCTTTGTAACATGGAGACTACCTGGAAGTGGCTGAGTGGGCAAGGGCACCGCCTCCTGCCGGCAGCTTGGAAATGCTCAGAGATGTCTCTTGTCCTTCTAGCAGATTTACAGTGAGGAGGGTAGGAGGTAGAGGTGGAGGATACTGTGGTGAGGCCTTGGGTTGCTTCTGGGGAGCTAGGTGCATCATGTTTGGGGGCAGAGCATGTGGCTGGACAGGTGACTTGGCTGTGATGGCTGGACAGGTGTGTTAGGAGTAGGTACAAGCCCTTCATAGGCTGAACACTCAGGTGGGTGCCTGCTTCTTGGTGGACTGAGGCTGCTGACAGTCAGTTACACAGCTGAGCAAAGACACAGCTCAGAGTCAGCAGACCTGGGTTTCCATCCAAGCTTCTTACTAGCTGTGTGATCTCAGGCAAATCATTGAACCTCTTGGAGCCCCAGTTGTTGTTGTTTATGGGAAAGTGGGGGTGAAAATGTGCTCCATGGGTTGTTAAGATCATTCAGTAAAAATGATTGCACAGCAACTAACAAGACGCCCTGGACACTTGGCATGCAATGAGTGCTCAATACCTGTTGGTTCCTCCCCTCTTCCCACCCTTTTGAGGTGAGCTCTTCATTTTTGAGAGTGCTGTGGCATAGGTCAGGGACGCAGGAGGAGTCTCTGCTGAGGTCGCTCAGTTGGGCCAGGTGAGCTCCAAGCTGCCTGCACTGTGGGAGTCCTGCCCAGCCTGGGTTCCCATGGGCTCTTGGTTTCTGTTTCTTCAATAGGTCTTTGATGCTTTCACCCCAAGGCTTCAGGATTCCAACAAGAAAGTGAACCAGTGGGCGCTGGAGTCCTTCGCCAAGATGATCCCCCTCCTCAGAGAGAGCTTACACCCCATGCTGCTCTCCATCATCATCACTGTTGCAGACAACCTCAACTCCAAGAACTCAGGGATTTACGCTGCTGCCGTGGCTGTGCTGGATGCGATGGTTGAGAGCCTGGGTGAGTGTCCCACGTGGGCCTGTGTGGCTCTGGTCACCATGTCCACCCTCCTGCTTGGAAATCTGCAAGGTGGATAAGGCCTTGGTTGGTTCCCAGGCCAGATGTTTCACCAGAGGCTGTGTAGGGCAGAGGTGGAGCCCAGGGCCTCCAAGGCTCTTGGCCAGTGGGCTTTTCTATGTCACAGCCACCCACACCTCTGGACGGCTGGAAGTGGAGGTGATGTGGAGATGATCCAGTCCAGCCTCCTCATAGACACATGAGGGAAATGACCCCCCAGGGTCACAAAGCACCCCAGTGGGTGAGTCAGGAGTGCTGGGAAGGCTTAAGCTGGGCTGGGGCTTGGCGTGGGGTTTGTGGTGATGGGCAGGGAGGGAAAGTGGAGGGAGGGGAAAAAGGATAGAAGAAAAAACGGTGGGAGCTATGGAAGAGCCATCAGGAAAGGTGAGAGCTTCTAGGTATGACATCTTGCTTCTGGAACGTTAAGGGAAATGTTGGTGCATCTGCTTGTGTTTTCTTATTCCTCTCATGGATGCTAAAAGGTGATGTTTGGTGTACCCAGTACGTGGACCAAAGTGCAAATTCCAAACTTTAGGTGTGTGGAGAAAGTAGCACATGAGTAGACTTATGGCCAGCCCAGTACAAGGACGAGCTTTCCCAAACAAGCCTTGCTTCAGTACGAGGAAGCCATGGTCTGAAAACCACCTGTGTTTGCCTTGTTGCTGTGTGTCCTCATGAGCATAGAGCAACGTCTTGCCTTTAGCATCCAAAGACCATCCTTTAGAGAGGCTGGACACCCCTCCTGATACACTTGCTGTCCCCCTCCCCCCGACCCCACCCCACTTCCTGGCCTGAGCCCAGCTCCCTGGGGCTGGGACAGGCACCGTGTCCTTGGCTGGAGGCTCCAGGAAAAGTTTCAGTTACAAATCAAAGGCCTGGTCAGGTCCCTCTCTGCCTCTTGAGTTCATAAATATTGTCAATTTCCACTCTTCATCTCAGAGGGAATTTATGATTTGCTGAGTTTGTTGCTGTAGAACAAACAATATAAATCCAGCTCTAAATTACGGCTTGTTCTCAGCATTGCTCTGGGTAAGTGAGATTGCTCTTGCCAATAACCAAGGCTCTTGGTAAATCACCATGGGCCTTGGATTTATTGGGAAAACCTGTACCAAGCAAAATAGGCTTTAGCTATTTGAAGAGGATAAGTACCCTTGTCTAGGGAGAGGAATTTTTAACTCTTCCCCCTCCAGGTGTTTTAGTTTCCACTTTTTGCCATCAGGCCAGCCTCCTTGAGCTCTGGAATTGTGGCGCTTTGGGCAAAAAATCTAGTGTCTCATACTGTCACAAGATTCAGGTCCCTCTTATTTGGGGCCCTGTTGTACCCCTACTAGACTGGGCATCCTGGAAAGGAGAGCCTGGGGGTGGCCTGCTTTTGTGATCTGAACTCACCTGGTAGCAGGATTGTAGCTACTAGGAAGATGCCTATGTTCTCCCTTCTGGGACAGGGCCTCCTTGGGTACGGCTGATAATGTACCCTCTGGTTCATCATCCAGAGGCTTTGGTGCAATGGGAAGGGTTGGCTCTCTTCCTCTCTAATCCATAGGTCAGGGCTTAGGCTGGAATGGAATGGTGTGGCCCTCAAAGGGATGAATGGAGTCCAGTAAATCCCTGGCAAAAGGCTCAGGTGGAGCCCAAAGGGTAAAATATACTGGTTTTTGTTTTTGTTTTTGTTTTTTCGAGATGGAATTTTTGCTGTTGTTACCCAGGCTGGAATGCAATGGCATGATCTCAGCTCATTGCAATCTCTGCCTCCTAAGTAGCTGGGATTACAGGTGTGTGCCACCACGCCTGGCTAATTTTTTGTATTTTTAGTAGAGATGGGGTTTCAGTATGTTGGCCAGGCTGGTCTTGAACTCCTGACCTCAGGCGATCCATCTGCCTCGGCCTCCCAAAGTGCTGGGATTACAGGTGTGAGCCACCGTGTCAGGCCAAATATGCTGTTTTGGATCCAGGTAATTTTTGAGCAGGTGAAGCATGGGCTATCTGGGCCTGATGGCTTTGCTGCAAGCCATACCCTCTTAGCCCAGCCAGCAAAACAGGTTTTGAAAGTGTTCCTAACTTTGAAGTGACCAGCTGATTTCCACATCCATGTAGGTCAGAACTGGAGGGAGTAGGTTACCAACAAGGGGGACTCATTGCCAGGGAGTACCTAGGGTAGAATCTGCCTCTGGGAATGGTTCTTATCTGCCTGTCATGGTCTGAGCCTGGCCTGCAGATGGAAGTAACTAAATTTCCCGCTGTCCCAGGGGATTGGGTGATAGCAGCAGAGAGTGCATCAAATCGGACGGAAGAGAAGGGGTATGAAGTCTTCCCAAATCACCCAAGCTGAGCCTGGTGGTTCTAGTGGTTTCTTGGGGGACCTTTAACACCTGAGGCCCCTCTTGGAAGTGGCTTGGATCGGACATGATCCAGTTTCTTTGATGGGAAGGAGCTTTTCCCCAAACCTCCTTCTTCATGCTCCATAAGAAATTCTGGGCTCCAGGCTGGAGACGACTGTTGAATGCTGTGAAATATTTAAATGTGGAAAGTCACAAAGCAACAGCTCAGCAGGTTACTGTTTATTTCCTGCTAAACTGGAGGTCAAGGGGATCAAGAATAATGCCAAGCTAGGATGCCTTCTGGCATAAAGTCCAGATGGCACAGCCAAGTCGGGAGGATGGCCTTCTTGGGGGGACCTTCTAGAACTCACTAATTCTAGAATTCAGTGATAAAGAAGCCAGTATCATCGCTTCTAATCCCTTGGTTTCCCCAGGCTGGGTGGGGTTGAATGGAGTATTGGTTGGCAGAGCAGGTGGGGATTTCTGCCCATGTCCTTTTCATGGGAGGTAGTAAGGAATGAGACATGTTTGCAGCTTGCTCCCTGACCTCTGCCATCTCTCACTGCCAGCCTTGAGGCCTCTCTGGGATTGGGGCTCAAGTGGCATTCTTCCTACTCAGCACCAAGACCTTCTGATTTCAGGGGAATTATTCTGGGATCAAGGAAGTTCCTGAGTAGAACTGGTTGGCTCTGTCTTTGGGCTCTTATTGGGTTAGTTACAGAAGAAACTTCGCTAATGAAAACATCAGGCTGCTGACAGCTCATCCCCTCCCGATCAGACCTCAGCATTCAAGCTTCTCTGTGCCAAAAGGAACTTTCTTAATTTACTCCAGCCCCTGGTCAGTACTGGAGAGGGCAGATAAGCTTGGAATGCGGGTGGCTTCAGGTCTACTTTTGCTATTTTGCTCTCTGACTTTAAATTTATTACCTTATATAAATCATATCAACATTATAATGTTAATGGAATTTAAAAATGCATCCATGGTGCTCCTCCAATATACCAACTGCTTAAAAATATCTCTTCTATTTTTGTCTATATACAAATTTCCCTTGTTAAAAATCATAATGTAAATATAGTTTTGATTTTGCTTCTTTCATTTAACACTACCCAGTTTCACATGCTACTGGGCAGTCTTTCTAGTTAATTAGAAAACCGAAAGTTCACTTCTACCACTGTAAAGAAGTCATACTTATTTTGAATAAATGAAGATACAAAGCATTTGAAAGGGGAAAAAAATCCCTCACTCATAGTCCCAACTCTTCAGAGAAACCATTATTAACATTTGGCATTTTTTTGAGTTTTTTCCTGTGCACATTTGTGTACATGGTTGTTGTAGGGTAAATCCACCTGATAGCAATAACTTTAGCATCCCCTTAGAATGATCCTGAATGGCAGACACAATGAGTGTGTGTTCTGAGCTAGGGTATCTGGGAGTGGCCAACTTGGAGATTCATTCCTTGTTTATGAGGCACATCTGAGCTCCCGACCTTCCCTTGGAACATGAGCCATACAGGGGATTGAGGCCCTGAATTTTGGGGTAAATGAAGGTTGCCAGGTGGAAGGTGTTAAGTGAAAGTGCTATGTAAATTGCATGCTGTTTGCAGGCAGTTGCGATTTTCCTGCCCAGCCCTCCGCCACTGCGCCATAAGGCTCTCCCATTCAGCCTGCTGCCACTAGACTCTCTCCCCTGTAGGTAAGCCCCTAATAAAACCCCGTGTCTCGTTTGTTGGCTTTGAGTCTCTTTTTTGGCCTCTTGAACCAGATACCCTTCCTATTAATAGGGGTTAATAGGGGTTCAGCACAGCAGTTGTGGTGTTATACATTTGGATTCGCATCCTGCTTTTAAAAAAATCATAGCATAAGCATTTGCAGATGATTATACTCTTGAGTCACTTTTTTTTTTTTTTTTTGAGATGGAGTCTGGCTCTGTCACCCAGGCTGGAGTGCAGTGGCACAATCTGGGCGCACTGCAACCTCCGCCTCCTGGGCTCAAGCGATGCTTCTGCCTCAGCCTCCCGAGTAGCTGGGATTACAGGTGCATGTCACCACACCCGGCCAATTTTTGTCTTTTAGTAGAGATGGGGTTTCACCATGTTGGCCAGGCTAGTCTCAAACTCCTGACCTCAGGTGATCTGCTCACCTCGGCCTCCCAAAGTGCTGGGATGACAGGTGTGAGCCATTGCGCCCGGCCTTGAGTCACTTTTAACAGCTCCATCACGTGACTGCATCATAACTTGCATGTTTCTGTGCAAGTGAATCAGTCACAGTTTTTTCTTTAGATGAACATCCCTAGTGCTGGTAGCCATGGTGAATCTGGTAAAACCAGCGCGTCATAACTTACCAAGTCTTGTGCTTATTTAGGGGACTCCAGTCCGACTCCAGTTTCCTTGCTACCATGTTTTCTACGCTTTCTTAAAAGCTCTTATCTGGCTTCCCAGTAGCTGGAGGATGATGTGGCCTGGTAGCCTCAGGGCTTGGCTGAATGGGACAGGTGTAAGGCCCCTTAGACCTCCACCTCATTGTAGAGAGGGGAGTCTGAGCCTAGGAAGGACAGTCTCTGGGCTGCGGCTAGTGGCTGTTTTCTCTCCAATTCAAGGCCAGTCTTTGCCTCCTTGTGAGGCAGAAAAGGAGCCTAGGAAAGCACCAGGTTAGGCTAATGGAGTGTAGATTTTCAGCTTTTAAAAATTAGATTCTAGCCTCTTCATTGGTCTCTCTACCATTGTGGTTGCTGGGCTCTCAGAGTTTTAAGGTAATAATAGTAACAATAATAGCTGATACTTGCATAGTAATTATATGCTGTAGGCATTATCCTAAGCACTGTTTATTCATTGAACCCTTACAGCAACTTTATGAGAAAGCTATTAGTATCATCCCCATTTTATAGTTGGGTAAACTGAGTCATAGAGCAGATAAGTGGCTTGTCCAATGTTCCACAGTAAAATATGGAAGAACCAGGATTCAAACCCAGGCAATCTGTATTCAGAGCTCTTACAACTGCTATGCTTTAGTGTGTCTTATTGAACCTGGAGGTAACCTGAAAGGTGAGCCTTCACTCTAAAAGTGGCCAGCGGAAAGACAGGCCAAATGCCTGGGCATAGTGCTCTGGGGTTCATAAACCAGCCCAGGCACACTGTGTCTTGTTTTGACATTGCCCTGCAGCTACAAGCATTTATTCAGCACCTGCAGTGTGCTGTGCACCGTGGGAGCATGGTCTGGCACAGGTCTCTGCTGGATATGCATTTTTAAGTGTTCCCCAAATTCACTTCTTTCTGGCTCTGGGGAGAGGGGATGTTTGGGGCCAGAGGCGGGAGCCCCTGCTGTGTCTAGATGTCAGGTCTAGATGTGTCTAGGGTCAGGTTCCAGCTCATGCTGAGGTCTGAAGGGAGTGGGTGGATGAGCAGAAAGAACACTCGGGGGGGCTACAGGCAGGTGAAAGATGATTTTATTCAGCAGCAGCTCTCTGCAGCAGCTTACTCTCACACCATCTGCCCTGTCTCAGCTGCTTAGTCTGTTGGCTCCCACACACAGCTGCGCCGGCTCTCCCTTGCCTTCAGGGTCAGCAGCTTAACTCTTTCCCTCTGGGCACAAGCCGTTTCCTAGCTCCGTGTCCGACTGCCAGACGGGCATTCTCTCTTACAGGGGGCAGTAGCTTCACTCTCTCTCTGGGCACACACAAGCCTGCACAGTGTCAGCAGGGCAATTATGCCTTTTACAGACCATAGTGGCACAGGGCCAAGGCATGGCCTTCCCATGTTACGACTGTGATAACAAGTGGAGTTATACGTCTGTGCTCTAAACTTGCTGAGTCACTCTGGATGTTTACCTTGGCCTATCCTTGACCAAAGCACAGCCATGTTCCTTACATTAGAGAATGTTCTAGGCTGAGCATTGTGGGAGGTGACGGAGGAAGAAGTCCTTGTCTTCAAATCTGAGCCCAGGTAAATGATGGGGTGGGACAAATAGAAACACCTGGAAACAAACAGGTGCCATTCATATGAAAATCTATTCTTAACGCAATTGACAGCTTTACCAATGCACCCCGAGACCTTATCTTGCTAATTACTATATTCTAGAAGCTGGCATCTCATTTATCTCCCAGGGCAAATTATTTTAAAGCCGCTTGATTTGCGGATGGAGCTTTTGCAAACAGCAGAGATGTACCTGGGTACATTTTCTCCTCTGTATCCCTCAGGAGGACAGCAAGGGAAGCAGGGATGAGCTCTTAGATAAACTTGTGCCTGATGAGAAAAACAAAGCACTGAGTGCCCCTCTCCAGGAATGCAGGGGCTCTGTGCTGAGGTATTGAAGGAACTTGGAAAAAGTGAGACTGGAAAGACTTCCTCGTGCAGAACTCTAAAAACTCTGTCCCCTGTAAAGAGAAGTCTGGCCTGGAGAAGGTCAGCTCCTGGGTCCCAGGATACACGTGCTGGGCTGCTGTGGTAACACCACATAGGCCACCTGCCCTCACCTACCTGACAGGTGCAGGCAAGACACAAAGCCACATCTCTGAAAAATGCATTTTGTTACTTGCCCAACTTCCTACTGAATTAAGTTGTGACTAGTGTGGTTGCAAAATGCTGGGAGCTTGGCATGCTGGTTTCTCTGCAGTCCACAAGGAGAAGGTTCTGATGATGGTGTGTATTTCTCAGCTTAGCACACCTTTCTAGGACAGGCCCATTTTTCTCACGTTGTGTGTCTTTGTGAGAAATGCATCTCTTCAAGTTTAATAGTTTGAGAAACCAGGAGGTGTCAGCTAGAATGGAGAGGAACAAGCAGCTTCTAAATTCAGTAGATACGGAGTCCTGCTGCAGTCGACTTCGGGAATATGAAGGAGCCAGACAGCCAATTTATTCCGGAAATGTCCCCACCCCATTTGCTTGTGTTTTCACCATTAGTGGCTCATCTCTGTAATAAACACTCATACTATTTCAGTTCTTTCAAGATACAAATGGGGTGGTGCTCAGTCCCCAGAACTTTACCCATGGGCATGGCTGGGCAGCCAGGGAGCTGCGCCTCGCAGCTGGGTGTGGCTGGATGGTTGGTGGAGCTGGGATTGGGGGCGGGCACACTGGGACAATTTTTTCAAAAAGGTTTAAAACACCTCTTTTCCCAAACCTCCCGAAAGGCATATTGGGGCATATAGACGATAAACTCAGCCATCTTTGCAAGTACATTCATGCTGGGTCTGAGACTCAGACCACCTGGAGTTTACAAGTAAGGAGAAAATCAGGCCAGGGCAGTGAGGTCATATATAAACCATTGATGATAATATGTGCTCCTCAGCCCACAAACTCCCTCCTCTGACCCTGCCAGAGCCAGCCGGGTGCTTCTGCTCTGGATAGGATGACCAAGCATCCTGGGTTCCCGGGACTCGGGACTGACAGTGCTGAAATGGGGAGAGCCCGGGCCCACCAGGACCAGTCAGTCACCCTGGCCTCAGACCTGCAGGCTTTTGGTTACAAGAGCACAGTGCTTCTCACCTGGTGTCAGGGTTCATGTCTAAGCGTCTGTCTGCTTGTCAGAGGAGCCTCTTGAGGGGGATGGGAGTACTGGGTTTTACTTGGCTCCTAGCTCTATGCCTGTTACATAGATGATATCAGTATGTGTTCAGTGTAGAAATGAACCACCACCAGCTGTGGGTACATCTTGGTGGGTAGAGCACAAATTCAGGCTTTGAGAAGAGCTATACTTTCTGAATTTTAATCCTAACCCTTCACTGACCTTTGTGTAATCATGGCTCAGTGATTCTGTTTCCCCTAAAACATATCTGTATATCCATCCATCCATCTCTATTATCTATCTTCTATCTATCCATCCTCCAACATCTTCTCTCCATCATCCATCCATCCATCCATCTTCTGTCATCTATCTACCTACCTACCTACCTGTCTACTTTGCTTTGCCCCAAAACTCCTGTCAATTTTGAGACGCACAGGCAATATGAACCAGATCTGTGGGAATAAATGAGGCCTGTTTGGGAGCCAGTTTAACTCTTTCAGGCCACTGATTCTTTCCCAAACACGCTACATACATTCACTTTAAGTGGCCCCTTTGTGACCTGGAAAAATTAATTCAGCTCCCCCAAAGGCCTCATCCCCTTGCAGGTACTGTGGGTATGTGGCCCTGCAAACCCCTAGTGCTGTCACTCAGCCCCCAGCAGTGTGGCCACTGACATCCCCCTTCTCTTTCAGACAACCTTTGCCTTCTACCAGCGCTTGCTGGGCGAGTGCGTTTCCTGAGTGGCCGTGCGGTGCTGGATGTCACAGATCGCCTGGCAGGTGAGCACCCCCAGCCCCACCCCACCCCATCTCCTGGCAGATTTCTGTTCTCTCCTGGTCTGTGGTTGAACCATTCACCCAGTTATCTTAGACCTGAAATAATCCCCCCCAATCATTTAAAATTTTGAAAATCTGCTTTTTTTGTGTGTGACAATCTCCATATTGCCAGAAGACAATCTTTGTTTTTGATCAAAATGAAGTAGGTTTGTACAAAAGCAAAAGTGTTTTTAAAAAACTGTTACAGGTTGAATCTCCCTAATCAGAAAATTAGAAATGCTCCAAAACCTGAAACTTTTTGAGCGCTGACATGACATTAAAAGAAAATGTACATTGGGGCATTTCCGATTTCAGATTTTTGGATTAGGGATGCAGAACTGGTATCATGAAAATATTCCAAAATCAGAAAAAAAGCCGAAGTACTTCTGGTACCAAACATTTTAGATAAGGGACACTCAACCTGTGTGCGTTTCTTCCTCCTTGCAAACAAGGCTGCTTCTAGCCTATAGAGTACCTTTGTGTGAGTCAGAAAAAAGCCTCCTTTTTCAGACAGACCATGCCTAGTGGGTGCATATGGCTTGGTCAGTTGACAGCACCATCAAGAGAATTAGAAAAAGTTGCCATGTACAACTTTAGCATGTGCAGCCTGGCAAGCAGGCACCAGCTGGGTTTCAACCCCTCAGGACCCCTTGGCCAGTGCTGGGACTGTATTATGTGGAGACGGGGCCTTAGCCTGAGTCTACTCAGCCTTGCTCAAGCTTCAGCTGGTGAAGGGTTGCTCCAATCCTGTTTCTGCTTTGAGTCTGCAGGAGAAGTCCAAGTGACTTCATTCCAGGGCTGAAATCTGTTCTTGTGGTCCTTGAGGTGGCAACACAGAAAGGACACAGGCTTTGGTGTCCACACACCCATCTGCCACCACCAGCCCTGACCTTGGGCAGGTTACTTATCTTGGTTTCATGATCATTTTTGCTTGCACAAAGCCTCCTCCCCTGCCTTGGGAAGGTCCCATCTAGGGAGGGGGGCAGAGGGACTCTGTTCCCTAGACTCCCGATGGTCCCCCTGAAATGCAGACAGATCATGCACCAGCCCTGCTTTAATCTTTGTGAGACTCCTGAGCTGTCTTCAGGATAGTGTCCAGGCCCCCTGGAGTGGCCCACAGCTGTCACTGCTGCTCTAGGATGTGCCGCCTTCCTCCCACCCCAGCTCTATGCTCATTGAATCCTCATGACCACCCCACAGGAGGATGTAGATTCCACTTGGTGGAGAAAAGGAGAATGGAGCTCAGAAAAGTGAAATGCACAAGGTCTCTTGGTGAGGAGCCCAGGATGTGTCCTGGGAGCCTGGCTGAAGGGCCAAGACCCCAACCCTGTGCTGTGCTGCTTCCCCCTGGCACTCTGCCTCCTGGGTGCCTGCATGCAGTGGCCGGTCTCTCAACTTCTTGCTCTGCCCACTTGTGGCTGCCCTGCCCGGAAAGCCTTCTCCATTCTTCTTCCTCTACCTGGGGGATGCCTGCTTGGCTCTGGCATTACCTTCTCCCTGTGTGCTTCTCAAGACTGCATCCCACATGGTATCACTGGTCTGTCTACTGCCCTCCCCTCCTAGCCCAGCTGTGAGCATCCAGAGAGGGGCCTGGCACATGCTGCATGGCTGAGGACCTTGGCACCAGCTGCCCTTTCAGCTTCTCCCCTGCCCCATCTCTTGCGCCTGGCCTTGCCTCTATGCAGGTTCTGTCCTTCCAGCATTCCTGGAGTGGCCTCTTACCTTACGGGAAGGCAGGTGCGAGTGAGGCAGGGCTGGCTGCAGGTGAGCTGGGGGAGAACAGGGTATGTAAGTAAGATGGTCCTAGACACCAGACAAGGAACCCTTTGCCATTGCTCAAAGTCAGCATTTTCTGCATGAAAGGTTTACCTGTCCTTGTCTGGGTAATTTACGGGGCCCAGAGGTGGGCAAGTATCTTCACCTTATCCACTTACTGTAATTTTTTCTTGTCTATTTCCAAGAGACCTCAAAAGAAGAGCTTCTCCATAGGTCTTCTGTTAACTCTGTGTCCACCAGGAACACAGAAGAAAATTTTTATTGACACAGGCGAGGCCTAATAATAGCACAGCTTAATAGGAGTAAATCTTCTGCTAATTACTTCAGCTGCTTCTAAGCTTGAGTTTAATGGGGCTTGCTCCCGCATGCTGGCCCCCAGAAGGGCCTCACCATCTTTGCCAGCTTAAGAGTCAACACCTGCCAGCCAGGCGACTGCCACATCCTTGCACCTGGGGAATGTGGCTCTGAAGTAGCCTGAGTTCTATTAGCCAAGACGTGATCAGAGAAGGTGGCCTGGGCTGTGGAATTGAGTTTGGGTGGGGACTGCTACTCTTCCTGTGGAGTGAGCTTCCTGGGGGCTGAAGTGTAAACACGCCTCACTCTGTGGAAGAGAATTCAAGGAGCAAGAGTGGATAAAATGTAGCAGGATGGGGAAGGAGGCTCTGTTGGGGGGCAGGTAGAGCCCCCCCAGCCTTTGGTGGGGGTGGGGGTGGAGGGTGCGTGCCTGGGTTTGGCTCTTGAGATAGTTCTCACTTTTCCCTGCTGTATTAGCCTGTTCTCATGCTGCTGATAAAGACATATCCGAGACTGGGTAATTTATAAAGAAAAAGAGGTTTAATGGACGAACAGTTCCATGTTGCTGGGGAGGCCTCACAATCATGCCACTCATCTTACATGGTGGCAAGGAAGACAGAATTTGTGCAGGAAAATTCCCCCTTATAACCTTTTAAAACCATCAGATCTCATGAGACTTACTATCACAAGAAGTACACCGGAAAGACCTGCCCCCATGATTCAATTACTTCCTACCGGCTCCCTCCCATGACACGTAGGAATTGTGGGAGCTACAATTCAAGATGAGATTTGGGTGGGGACACAGCCAAACTATATCACCCCCCATTAAAAGAATTGTGTTAAAATACACAACATAA